>NC_000017.11:9582020-9733535 GCF_000001405.40 Homo sapiens
TATAATTCTTTTTCTGCTACATTTAGCCAGAGTTGACTCTTCTAGTTTGCAACCAAGAACCATAATTTTTAAATGCAAAAACAAAAATAAATCTGAAGAAATACACACCTGCATGTTACAAGGTTATCTCTGGGCAGGTTGCACACCTAAGAATAGAGTAGCTGGGTCCTGGGGCATGTGCGCATTCAAGCATCATCAATAAAGACACATTGTTTTCCAAAACGATTAGACCGATTTACTCTCCCACCAAGCATTTTATGAGTGTTGGCTTTGTTCCACATCAACACAGATGCCTGGTACTGTCAGCCATCTTAATTTTAGCCATTTTGGTGGATATGACATGGTATCTCATTTCGGACATAATTTACATTTTCCTGGTTACTTATGAGGTTGCATCTCTTTTTGTAGGTTTATTGGGTTTTGAATTTCCTTCAGCATAAACTGGCTATCCATATCCTTTGCTCATTTTTCTATTGAGAAGCATATGTTTTCCTTATTGCCTTGTAGGAGTTCTTCGTATATTATGGAGATGATCCTTTGTCTATTGTATACATTGAAAATATCTTCTTGTTTGTGTTTTTCTCTTCATCCTTCCAATAACAATGTCTTTAGTAATTAAATTTTTTGATTTTTTGAGAAAGAGTCTCACTCTGTCACCCAGGCTGGAGTGCAGTGGCACAATCTCAGCTCACTGCAACATCCACCTCCCAGGTTTAAGCGATTCTCCTGCCTCAGCCTCTCAAGTAGCTGGGATTATAGGTGTCCACCACTACGCCCAGCTAATTTTTGTATTTTTAGTAGAGACAGGGTTTCGCCATATTGGCTAGGCTGGTCTCAAACTCCCAGCCTCGAGTGATCTGCCTGCCTCGGCCTCCCAAAGTGCTGGGATTACAGGCATGAGCCACCCAGCCCAGCCTAGATGTTTTTCATTTTTCACATAACTGGGTAAATATTTCAGCCTTTTCTTTTATGATTTGCTCTTTTTGTGTCATAGTTGGAAAGTCATTTCTTACTTTTGTACACACTGTCTTGTTTTTCACATTTAGGTCTTTGATCTACCTGGAAGATATTGTTTGTGTAAGGTGTGAATTATGAATCTAAGTTTAATTTTTCCATATGGATAGCCATATGATTGTTTATAAAGAACCTGCAATTAGAAAACTATAAAAAATTTTTAGTAGGAATAGATCACCCTAAAGACATAAACCTTGGTATTATAAGAACATACTGCATAAAAAAGGAACACTCAATTAAAATGAAAAAAAATCATTTATTCAATAATTACATTTGGCCATTTGAGCAAAAATAATCCATTTAGCTACAGGAATCACATAAAGCACCAAAATAAATTCCAGAGGGAGTTAAATATAAAAGAAGCATTCATTTAAGAACAAGAAGATTATATTAATAAATATTTATGAGTCTTTCGATGGAGAAGGAGATAGCAACAAAAAAGTTTTTTAAAAACCCAAGAATAAATGTAATAAGAAATGAGTGAGATCTTTATGAAAAAAATGGAAAATGCTACTAGAAGGCATAAAAGGAGACTTATGAAGAAACATATCCTGTTTTTAAAATAGAGGTATTTTATATTATTATAAAAATCATTTTCCCTTAAGTTAATCTATACATTTAATACTATCTCACTAAAAACACAATCATGAATTTTAAATAGCCAAGGTGACATGCAAGTTTGTATTGTAAAATAAACACGAAGAGCAATCAAAAAAATTCTGACCATAGGTGAGCAATAATGGAGGACCTGGGTCTGTTTCATATTAAAACATATTACAAGGGTTTATAATTGTTGAGATGGTTCTTGGTATAACCAAAATCAAGTTTGGGCCACTTGTCACTTGAAAGCTAAAAACTCAAGAGATGAGCTTTGGTGAAAGGAAGGTTAGCTTTATTGGAGAAGCCAGCAACCCAGGGGAGACAATAAACTAGCGTTCAAAGACCACCTCACCGAGTTGAGTCTCTGAATCAGGGAAATTAGAGGAATAATGATCAAAGCATTTTTGTGAAACATGTGCAGTCTCAGGTAGGCAGTTAGTCAATATGTTGGGGCCTTCTGCAGATGCCATCTGCCCTGTTCTTACCAGGCTGGTCAGCCCATTCCCAGAGTTGTTGGTCATTGTATTTTCTTTTATTTTTGCTGAAGGTCCTGTTCTCCTGAAACTGTTTTTAGTGAATAAACTACCAACTCAAGCAAAACAATAATTACATTCAAGCATACAAACTTTTCTCTAACATGGAAGCAGTAGTGTTACCTTGGCAGATATTTGGAGTACGGGAGTTGCCTGTGGAAAGAGGTGTCACCATGAAAGGTCCCAGGCTCTTCAGAGCACCTGGTGGGCACTCAGAACTGAAACCGAAAGTTAAAAAAATTATTTTCCTGGTTATATTGAGGCATACTTGACATATTAAGGTTGTATCAATTTAAAGTGTATAACACAATGTGTTGATAGACATATACATTGTGAAATGATGTCTACGATCAAACTAATTAACATATTCACTTCACATAGTTACTTTTTGTGTGTGATGAAAACACTTAAGATCAACTCTTTTAGCAGATTAATGCAGTATTTTTTTTTTAATTTATTTGTTCATTTTTTGAGATGGAATTTTGCTCTTGTCAACCAGGCTGGAGTGCAATAGTGTGATCTCGGCTCACTGCAACCTCCGCCTCGTGGGTTCCAGTGATTCTCCTGCCTCAGCCTCCCGAGTAGCTGGGATTACAGGTGCCCACCACCAAGCCCAGCTAATTTTTTGTATTTTTAGTAGAGACCGGGTTTCACCATGTTGGCCAGGCTGGTCTTGAACTCCTGACCTCAGGTGATCCGCCTGCCTCGGCCTCCCAAGTGCTGGGATTACAAGGGTGAGCAACCGTGCCTGGCCACACAATGTAATATTACTTAGCCTTTAAAAAGAAGGAAATCATGCCATTTGTAAAGACATGGATTAACCTGGAGAATATTATGCTTTGTGAAGTAAAATAGGCCAAATTTTTATATTTACCCAACCTTTGCCTGAGGTAGTTGACTCCCATTCTCCCTATGCCTGTGCACTCACCCAAGCAGGCTGCTCACACTCCATGCATTCGTGCTTTTTAGGATTACGAGAATTGGCCGTAGGACTTGCTGGACCAGCATCAGCATCACTTAGGAGCTTATGAGAAATACAGAATCTCAACCCCTTCTCAGACCTGAAATCAGAATCTGCATTTTAACAGGATCCCTCAGGGATTTTTATAAACATCAAAGTTTAAGATGTGATTACTAGATGAACGTTTTTGTCAGTGAAATAAAATTACCTATTTCCCCAACTTCTTTTAGCTGAACTAAGGCTTATTTTTAAAGTGTTGGCCGGGCGCGGTGGCTCACACCTGTAATCCCAGCACTTTGGGAGGCTAAGGTGGACGGATCACGAGGTCAGCAGTTCAAGACCAGCCTGACCAACATGGTGAAACCCCGTCTCTACTAAAAATACAAAAAAAAATTAGCCAGGTGTGGTGGCGGGTGCCTGTAATCCCAGCTACTCGGGAGGCTGAAGCAGGAGAATCACTTGAACCCAGGAGGTGAAGGTTGCAGTGAGCCCAAGACTGCACCATTGCACCCCAGGCTGGGTGACAAGTGCAAGACTCTGTCACACACACACACACACACAAAGTGTTGTGTTTTGTACTCAAGTAGAAAATTCCTGGCCACTTCTGCACCTGATTATTATTACTGTGAATCTCTCTCTTTTAGGACATGTGCCCACTGGTCTCAAATGCCATCCTGACCAGGAGCATATGATTTATCCTCTTGGTTGCACAGTCCTCATTCAGGCAATAAATACTAAAGAGCAGAACTTCCTACAGGGTCATGGCAACAACGTCTCCTGCTTGGCCATCTCCAGGTCTGGAGAGTACATCGCCTCCGGACAAGTCACATTCATGGGGTTCAAGGTGAATACAGTGAAAACGACTCATTGTCAATTTATCTAGAGGTGCCTCCCTAGAAGAACTGCCCCACTTCAAGTTGTTAGTTCTATGTGGCAATGTGCTTTATTCTTCCTTCTTCTTCTTTTTGACTTCTCTTTTAACCCATTTTCATTCCGTCAGACCGGGAGTGAAGGACTCTGATGATTTTATACCCGAGGTTGCAGCTTGTGACTGATAATGCTCACAAACAAAAGTTCCCGCTTAAAGCTGTTTCCATTGTGTTGCTGTCATGTTTGTAGAACCTGATCCGATTTCTAGAAAAGTGATAGAGCGGGCTGGGCGCGGTGGCTCATGCCTGTAATCCCAGCACTTTGGGAGGCCTAGACGGTCGGATCCCCTGAGGTCAGGAGTTCGAGACCAGCCTAGCCAACATGGTGAAACCCCATCTCTACTAAAAATACAAAATTAGCAGGGCGTGCTGGTGCATGCCTGTAATCCCAGCTACTCGGGAGGCTGAGACAGGGAGAAGTGCTTGAACCCAGGAGGTGGATGTTGCAGTGAGCAGAGATCTCGCCATTGCACTCCAGCCTGGGCAAAAAAGAGTGAGACTCCGTCTCAACAAAAAAAAAAAAAAAAAGAAAGAAAAAAGAAAAGTGACAGTACTAATTGTTTTTCACCAAGAAGGGTAGCTATCTCCTCAGATGCTTTTAATGCCTCCCTATGATCTGACGGTGTGTTCTTGCCCCCAGGCAGACATCATTTTGTGGGATTATAAGAACAGAGAGCTGCTTGCTCGGCTGTCCCTTCACAAAGGCAAAATTGAAGCTCTGGCCTTTTCTCCAAATGATTTGTACTTGGTATCACTAGGAGGCCCAGATGACGGAAGGTAATGAACTAAACATAGTTACTTATTTTCTTTATTTTTTTTAACTTTTATTTCAGGTTCAGACGTACATGTGCAGGTTTGTTATATAGGTAAACTTATGTCACGGGTTTGTTGTACAGATTATTTCATCAACCAGGTGCTCAGCCTAGTACCCAGTAGTTATTTTTTCTGATCCTCTCCCTCTCCCACCCTCCACCCTCAACAGGCCCCAGTGTCTGTGTTCCCTTCTATGTGTTCATGTGTTCTCATCATTTAGCTCCCACTTATAAGTAAGAACCTGTGGTATTTGGTTTTCTACTCCTGCATTAGGTTGCTAAGGATAATGGCCTCCAGCTCCATCCATGTTTCTGTAATTCTCATGATCTCATTCTTTTTTATGGCTGCGTAGTAGTCCATGATGTATATGTACCACATTTTCTTTATCCAGTCTACCATTGATGAGCATTTGGGTTGATTCCATGTCTTTGCTATTGTGAATAGTGCTGTGATGCACATACAATCATATGTGTCTTTATGGTAGAACAATTTATATTCCTTTGAGTATGTAGCCAGTAATGGGATTGCTGGGTTGAATGACAGTTCTGTTTTTAGCTGTTTGAGGAATCACCACCCTGCTTTCCACAATGGTTCAACTAATCTACTCTCCCACCAACAGTACCTAAGCATTCCCTTTTCTTTGCAACCTCACCAGCATCTGTTATTTTTTGACTTTTTAATAATAGTTGTTCTGACTGATATGAGGTGGTTATCTCATTGTGGTTTTACTTTGCATTTCTCTAATGACCAGTGATATTGAGCCTTTTTTCATATGCTTGTTGGCTGCATGTATGTCTTCTTTTGCAAAGTGTTCATGTCCTTTGCCTGCTTTTTAATGGAGTTTTTGTTTTATCTTATAAATTTATTTAAGTTCTGTATAGATGCAAGATACTTTTTCAGATGCCAAGTTTGCAATATTTGCTTATTTTCTGCAAGGCGTATTTCCAGAAGTGACAAGGGCCCTGTCCCCTCTAATGTTCTCTCTTGGCCCGTCTGTATTTCAGTATGCATTGTCTGAAAAGCCTCTGAGAAAAATACCATAAAAGTGGTTTTCAAAGTTGGCTGCATGTTGAAATCACCTGGGCAGCTTTAGGGAATCACTGGTGCCTGGGTGTACCTTCCAAGAGTCCGATTTGATTGGCCTGAGCTCTAAGAGTTATACAAGCTTCCCAGTACTGTGTTGAACACAAGTGGCCAGAGTGAGCATCTGTGAGGAACATGGCTGTGCTTTGGTCAAGGATAGGCCAAGGTAGGATGTTTACATCCTGCGTGACTCAGCAAGTTTAGAGTGCAGGCGTATAATTCCACTGTTAACACAGCCATGTTGCCATAGCATGGGAAAGGCCATCACTTGGCTCTACACCACTATTGTCTGTTAAAGGGATAATTGCCCTGTGGACACTGTGCAGGTGCCCTGGCGCCCAGAGAAAGAGAGAGAGCCAGAGCTGTCCATCTTTGCAGATGGACAAGGGGGAGCCAGGACACAGCTCAGCCCGCTCGTGCCCAGAGAGACAAAGAGTTAAGTTGCTGACCCTGAAGGCAGGGTAGAGCTGGCTGCGCAGCTGTATGTGGGAGATGCCAGCTCAAGCAGCGGAGGCAGGGCAGACAGTGTGAGAAAGCTGTTGATGAGAGCTGCTGCTGAATAAAATCATCTTCCACCTGCCTACAGCCCCCGAGTGTTCTTTCTGCTCATCTACCCACTCACCTCGGACTTCAGCATGGGCTGGACCTGGACCCTGGGATCTGACAGCATCCATATCTTGTTTCAGGTCTTAGTGGAAAGGCTTTCAATTTCACCCCATTCAGTGTGATAATTTGCTGTGGGTTTGTCATATAGGGTCTTTATCATGTTGAGGTATGCTCCTTCCATACCCAATAGAATATTTTTTAGCCACAGAAAAGAATTTTTTTTTTTTTTTGAGATGGAGTTTCACTCTTGTTGCCCAGGCTGGAGTAATGGCACAATCTCGGCTCACTGCAATCTCCGCCTCCCAGGTTCAAGCAGGCAGATCACCTGAGGTCAGGAGTTTGAGACCAACCTGGCCAACCTAGTGAAACGCTGTCTCTACTAAAAACACAAAAATTAGCCAGGCATAGTGCCGGGGCCTGTAATCCCAGCTACTTGGGAGGCTGAGGCAGGAGAATCACTTGAACCTGGGAGGCAGAGGTTGCAGTGAGCGAAGATTGCACCACTGCACTCCAGCCTAGGTAACAGAGCAAGACTCCAGCTGAAAATAAATAAATAAACAAACAAAATATATTAGGAAGAACAATCAATGCAAGACATTCCTATGTAAATGTCAAAGGATCACAATCTGTAGAAGAAAAATAGTAACACCTGAGGTTTGTGTGGGATTTAATACTTCAGTACACTTCTATGTATATTTTCTTATTTAAGCTTCATAGGTTTATTACAAAGGAAATTTATATTTGTGTATAGTTATATAACGATAGTTCTTCTCTTACTATATAGCAAGTCAACAAAATTTTCATGAGATTTCCTCTTTTTCTTGTCATTCACAAGTGGTCACCCCTTCCCTGGCTCATTACCACTTGACTGTTTCTGATAATAAATGTATTGGCCGGGTGTGGCAGCTCACGCCTGAAATCCCAGCACTTTGGGAGGCCGAGGCAGGTGGATTACCTGAAGTTAGGAGTTTGAGACCAGCCTAGCCAACATGGCGAGACCCCATCTCTACTAAAAATACAAAAATTAGCCGGGCATGGTGGCAGGCGCCTGTAATCCCATCTACTCAGGAGGCTGAGGCAGGAGAATTGCTTGAACCTGGGAGGCGGAGGTTGCAGTGAGCCAAGGTTGTGCCATTGCACTCCAGCCTGGGGACAAGAGCGAGACTCCGTCTCAAAAAAAAAAAAAAAAAAAAAAGAAAAGAAATGTATCCAGAAATCCCCTGTTAACATTCTTAGCTCAACTTTTTTTTTTTTTTGCAAGCAGAAAAAGCCTTGTTTTATTTTAATGACTGATCTATGTAATCACCAAGAGTGCTATCTACAGACAAGAAATGGGGAGCTTCTATTTCTTAGTTTCTTCCTCCTTGGGCAAGTCTTGATCTTCTCCTTCTTGGCCCGGAGGTGCTCTTCACAGTGCTTGTGTGTTTCCTTGGTCTTGGATCTGTGGGCCTGAGCCTGTTCAGCTGGGAGCTTTTCACAGGCTTTGTCTGCCGTCAGCTCATGGATATGTTCCGTGAGAATCCAGTTGTTTTTTGAATACATTCCCCTCCACCTTCAGGTACAAGCTGTGATACGTGTGGTGATCAATCTTCTTCGATCCATGGTATCTTCAGAGCAGGTGGCGCAGAATCCTCATTCTCCTCATCCAGGTTACTTTCTCTGGCAAAGGGCTACACCCTTTGGCTTACCTATGCCCATGTGCCTGCCCTTCTGGCGGGCCAAGGTGTTTTCCCATCATCCAGCCAGGGAATGGACAGTCACAGGCTTATGGATAATTAGCCCATCTTTGATCAGCTTCCAGATCTGCTGGTGGGAGGTGGCCTTGGCAATTTCACTGGTCTCATTGGGGTCCAACCAGACCTTCTTTTTGCCACGGCAGAGGGCACTAGAGGCAAGCCCCTTCTGAAGCCCAAACATTCTCATGGCTTTGGCCACTGCAGCGAAAGAAAAGAGTTCCAACATCCTTCGTTCAACTTAAAGCAGTTATTCTCAACCTTTGGAGCACACTGATATTACCTAGGAAGATTTAAAAAACACTGACGCCTGGGTCCCACCCCCGGAGATTCTTGGAGCTAGGCCATTAGGCCACCCCAATCCCACCCCCTGTCAAAGAGACTAGGTCTTGCGGGGAAAATGGCCCCTTAACCAAGGTTAATCTGGCAAAACTGTTAATCTCTGCTGTAATTTTAAGCTGCCTAAAATTTGTTTGCAGAACATTCAAGAATGTTGAAAACCAAAAGAAAGAAAGGAAAACAAACCTTGCTGTACTAAAAAAATGCAATATGCCCATCCCTGGATAGTCTCTGTGGTGAGAAGGGTGGAGTTCTGCTGATT
Source organism: Homo sapiens (assembly GCF_000001405.40). Taxonomy (NCBI): domain Eukaryota; kingdom Metazoa; phylum Chordata; class Mammalia; order Primates; family Hominidae; genus Homo; species Homo sapiens. The sequence goes on from NC_000017.11 coordinate 9,590,894, forward strand.
GGTTTGGAGAGTCAGGGGTCAACCCTGAATGTGTGGCAGGGGTTTATTCTACCCAACCCATCTAGCTTCTACACAGAGGAAAAGAAACAAAAGGGAAGCTGCCAATTATAGTGGACATCCTATAGTTTGCATGCATCTTTTTTTTTTTTTTTTTTTTTTTTGAGATGGAGTTTCACTCTTGTTTCCCAGGCTGGAGTGCAACGGCATGATCTCAGCTCACCACAACCTCTGCCTCCCAGGTTCAAGCGATTCTCCTGCCTCAGCCTCCCAAACAGCTGGGATTACAGGCATGCACCACCATGCCTGGCTAATTTTGCATTTTTAGTAGAGACGGGGGTCTCTTCATGTTGGTCAGGCTGGTCTCGAACTCCCAACCTCAGGTGATCCACCCTCCTCGGCCTCCCAAAGTGCTGAGATTATAGGCTTGAGTCGCCGCTCCCGGCCTGCATGTATCTTTTAAATTTTGTAACCTATTTATGAAACTTTTTCCATTGATGTCATCATGGTATTCATGTTGTAATGCAACCTGCTTTTTGACTAACTTTATATGAAGGACATCTATGTCCACACACGTAGATATAGATCTCATTCTTTGCCATAATAGCATAGTATTCCATTGTACAGATGTGCTGGAATCTATTTGGCCAGATCTCTATGTTGTTGCCCTTTGTTTTATCTATTTTTAAAACAAATTTGTGTTTGTGCGGGGTGCAGTGGCTTACACCTGTAATCCAAGCACTTTGGGAGGCCAAGGCGGAAAGGATCACTTGAGCCTAGAAGTTCAAGACTAGCCTGGGCAACATAGGGAGACCCCTGTTTCCACAAAAACTGAAAAATGAGCCAGGCACGGTGGTGTGTGCCTGTAGTCCAGCTACTTGGGAGGCTGAAGTGGGAGGATTGCTTGAGCCCAGGAGTTTGAGGCTGCAGTGAGTGGTGATCGTGCCACTGCACTCCAGCTGGGGCAACAGAGAGAGACCTTGTCTCAAAAAAAAAATTGTTTTTGAAAAATTAAAGCTATTTCCGGCCATGGCTTATAAAGAAACTGTGCTGTCCTACTATGCAAAAGGATCCAAAATTCAAAAGCATGACTCTTATATCCCCCTCACCTTGAAGATTCTACTACCCAGAGGCACTTGGATTTTTTTAATTGAAATACATTTCACATATCATAAAATTGACCCGTGTTAAGGTGTACAGTTGAGTGGTTTTTAATGTGTTCACAAGGTTTGCAATCATCATCCACAATTTTAGAATGTTTTCAACACCCCAAAAAGAAACCCCATACCCAGCCAGGCACGGTGGCTCACGCCTGTATTCCCAGCAATTTGGGAGGCTGAGGCGGGTGGATCGCCTGAGGTCAGGAGTTCGAGAACAGCCCGGCCAACATAGTGAAACCCTGTCTCTACTAAAAATGCAAAAAAAATTAGCTGGGCGTGGTGGTGGTGGGCCCCTGTAACCCCAGCTACTAGGGAGGCTGAGGCAGGAGAATCGCTTGAACCCAGGAGGCAGAGGTTGCAGTGAGCCAAGATTGCCCCATTGCACTCCAGCCTAGGCAACAAGAGCAAAACTCCGTCTCAAAAAAATTAAAAAATAAAAAGAAACCCCGTACCCATTAGCAATCACTCTCCATCCCTCCTCCTCCAAGCCCCAGGCAACCACTAATCGACCATCTGTCTCTAGCTTTGCCTATTCTAAAACATTTCTCATAAGTAGAATCATACAATATGTGGTCTTTTGTGACTGGCTTCTTTCACTTAGCGTAATGTTTTCAAAGTTTATCCATTTGTGGCATGCACAGTATTTCATTTTTTATCATCAAATAGTATTCCATTGTGTAGACAGCCTACTTTATCTTCATCTATGCATCAGCTGATGAACTTTGAGTCATTTCCACTTCTAAATTATTATTAATAATGGCGCTATGAACATTCGTGTACAAGATTTTGTGTGGACATGTCTTCATTTCTCTTGGATACGAGGCACTTCTTTTGAATAGTCTTTGATTTTTGGTTCATCATCTAGTTATCATTTAAACTTTTTAAGTAGTTTACCTCCCAATTTTTCCACTTTTGATGGTATCTGTTAATGTCCCACTGTGGAAAAGGGAGAATTTATGGCTATTATATGACTTCCTACCTCCCTATTCCTGGTGATCTTGGTTATACCTTGATTTCAGACCAATGTGATAATACATTCCATATGTAGAAAAGTTGGGAAATATAGTTAGGTATGTTTTTACATGAACAAGATTTGTAACATTTTCATTCTTTTTCTTTAAACACCTTGATTCGAACATTTAACATAACGCCCCCTCCCCAGCATTTTTTTGTATTATGATCCACACCCTATTCAGTGTAGGATAAAGTTGTATGATTGCACCCAGAAGAAGGAAGTGTAACCCTATAGCTGCAATTCTCACAATGTGGTTCCCAGACCAGCAGCACACACATCACCTGGAACTTACAAGAAAAGCAAATTCTCAGATCCCACGTACTGAATCAGAAACTGCGGTGCTGTGGCCTAGCAGTCTCTGTTTTAATAATTCTTTTGTTTGTGTTTTTGTTTTTGTTTTTTGTTTTCGAGACGCAGTCTCGCTCTCTTGCCCAGGCTGGAGTGCAATGGTGCAATCTTGGCTCACTGCGACCTCCACCTCCCGGATTCAAGCGATTCTCCTGCCTCAGCCTCCTGAGTAGCTGGGACTACAGGTGTGTGCCACCACATCCAGCTAATTTTTTTATTTTCAGTAAAGATGGGTTTTCACCATGTTGGCCAGGTTGGTCTCAAACTCCTGACCTCAGGTGATCCACCCGCCTCGGCCTCCCAAAGTGCTGGGATTACAGATGTGAGCCATCGCTCCCAGCCAACATTCGAAACCATCCTGGCCAACACGGTGAAACCCTGTCTCTACTAAAAATACAAGAATTACCCGGACATGGTGGTGTGCGTCTGTAGTCCCAGCTACTCAGGAGGCCGAGGCAGGAGAATCGCTTGAATCCAGGAGGCGGAGGTTGCAATGAGCAGAGATGGCGCCATTGCACTCCAGCCTGGGCAACAAGAGTGAAACTCCATCTCAAAAAGAAACAATAACAACAACAACAAAAAACTTTTAATGTGTCACCGTTGTGTCTTCTAATACCTAGTGTAGTTGAGGAGATGTCAGGGGTGGGGTAATTTTGTTGTTCGTTTTTAAGTAACCTGTTGTGTTTTTTTCTTTCTAGAACCACTAAGATGGTTGTTTCTTATTTTAAAAGCCTGTTTTCTCTTTGACTTTTTTTTTTTGGTCCCTCTTATTTTGGCAGTGTGGTGGTGTGGAGCATAGCCAAGAGAGATGCCATCTGTGGCAGCCCTGCAGCCGGCCTCAATGTTGGCAATGCCACCAATGTGATCTTCTCCAGGTGCCGGGATGAGATGTTTATGACTGCTGGAAAGTATGTGTCTGCGTTCGGAGTTTTCAGAACTCATAAATTGCTATATTTTCTTGCACAGAAAACATGGTCATTCTGATCTGGGGGAACACGTCTTTAGTCCTGGATAAATACCTTACATCATAGTTTTTGTGATTTTGTACTCATTAAAAGTTCTCTTCACTGGAAGTATTTTCACTATAGTTATTTTAAAATTCTGTGATTGCTGCTGAAAAGATTTTGCTTACCTGCTTAACTGTTCTCAGGTTCTTGTTTGTGACAGAATTATCTCCAATCCATGCTCACAGAAACAATTTGCACAATTGCACAGATTCACCTACTGACTGATGTTTCTTCCCACCTGCTCTTGATTGGGGTCTCATGATCTGATAGTTTGCAAATGAATTCTGCCAGGAAGTTTCAAATGGTTAGACTGTTAGCCATGTAAAATAATTACGGGCAGGATCAGCTTTAACCAGCTAATGGTGACCTAGCTGAAAGTTTGAACAGAGGCCAGTATCTGCCTAAGGGAGGGAATAAATTAATTTACAGATTCACTAATTAGAACCTTGTTTAAATTAGCAAATTAGGGAGGGTTTTTTTTTTTTTTTTTGACAGTGTTTTGCTGTGTCACCCAGGCTGTAGTGCGGTGGCATGATCTCAGCTCACTGCAACCTCCACCTCCCGGGTTCAAGCAATTCTCCTGCCTCAGCCTCCCAAGTACCTGGGATTACAGGTGCCCGCCAACACACCCGGCTAATTTTTGTATTTTTAATAGAGACAGGGTTTCACCACATTGGCCGGGTTGGTCTCCAACTCCTGACCTCAGGTGCCTGTTTGGAGTTTGAAGGGAAGGTTAAATATGAATTTTAGAAATCCTTTTTTAATGTTATATACCAGTTCAGAGGGCAAGAAATCAGAAAATACAGAGTTGAAGTATGTGTTCAGTAGAACTATTTTTTTCAACCCATCTTGGAAAGGTACACATGGTTGGTTACTTTTCCAGCTAGAGAAGAGAATTTGTGCAGCTCTACATCTATATTGTTTCCTGTCCCCGCTTTATGATATGCAACTTACATTTGCTCCATGGCTAATTATGAGGAACGATTCATTCAGAGGCCATGAAGCTAATTGACCGGCACGAAAACCAGCCCTACCAAGCAACCTAAAGCAACTGACCACGGGCTGTGGCGACACTCTTCAACTTTTTTCAGATTTGCAGAGTGATTTGACTAAGCCAGGGTTTTATAGGGTTCTTTCTGCTCCTTCACAGCCCCTTAAGCAGCAGGCATTGGTCCATTCTGAAGTCCATGAGCAACATTTCTTCAGGACTCAATACTTGAATTTTATATTAAAAAAAAAGTTTTTTTAGGACAATCTGCATTCTATGTCTGGTTTGATTTCATGTGACACTGAGAACTGAGAAAGTGATCATTCGTAAGTAAAATTTTTGACATGGCACCTATGTATGCTGGGTTCTCTAACTTGGTCCCAGTGCCATGTATTCCACTATATTGTCCCCATGAGATGTCCTGCAAGTTTAAGTATTTCAGAATCCAAATAACATCTACCAGGAAGACCATGAAAAAGCTCTTTGTTTAAAAAAAAAAAGTTCAGTACGTTTAAAATATGTCTGAGTACTTACTATATATATAACTCTGGGAGCTAAAAAAACAAAAGAAAAACTATATATATACATACATAGTTATATATATGTTTATATAGTTACATATGTATATGTATGTAGATATATATGTGTGTGTATATATATATATATATATATATATATATATATATATATATATGTACACATATAGAGAGAGACAGACTCTCACACTGTTGCCCAGGCTGGAGTGCAATGGCGCAATCTCAGCTCACTGCAACCTCTGCCTCCCGGGTTCAAATGATTCTCCTGCCTCAGCCTCCCAAGTAGCTGGGATTACAGGTGCATGCTGCCACGCCCGGCTAATTTTTTTGTATTTTAGTAGAGATGGGATTTCACTGTGTTGTCCAGGCTGATCTTGAACTCCTGAGCTCAGGCAATCCACCTGCCTCGGCCTCCCAAAGGGCTAGGATTTATAGGCATCAGCCACCATGCCTGGCCCAAAACTTGATATATTTTTAGATTAATCTTTTCTGCCTTAAAATATTAGCTGAAGTCTTTGTGATGTTGGCCTTGAAATTTTTATACAATTATTAATTCAGATTAATTCAACATATAATGAGTAAATACCGACCATGTATCAAGTCCTGTGTTAGATGCTAATTTGGTTTAGCTTTTAGTTGCTTGGTCTCATTTCTCTTTCCTTGAAGACAAGACTCCACACCACAGGTCTTCCCTTTAAAATTTTCCTTGCAACTCAATACCTTGAAAAAAACACATTTAAACTTACTCCTCCTCATGGTTGTTGTGTGTGTGTGTGTGTTTTTTTTTTGAGATGGAGTTTTGCTCTTGTTGCCAAGGCTGTAGTGCAGTGGCACGATCTCGGCTCACTGCAACCTCCACCTCCCAGGTACAAGCGATTCTCCTGCCTCAGCCTCCCGACTAGCTGGGATTACAGGTGCCCACCACCACGCCTGGCTAATTTTTTATATTTTTAATAGAGACGGGGTTTTCACCATGTTGGCCAGGCTGGTCTCGAACTCCTGACCTCAGGTGATCCACCCACCTTTGCCTCCCAAAGTGCTGGGATTACTGGTGTGAGCCACTGCGCCTGGCCCTCCTCCTCCTGTTGAACTGAAATTTGATGTCCTTTGACCAACATCTCCCTACTCTCCCACCCCCAGTCTCTGATAACCACCATTCTACTGTCTCATGCGTTAGGCTTTTTTACACTCCACAGCTGCGTAAAGTCATGCAGTGTTTGTTTTTCTGTGCTTGCCTTATTTCACTTAACATAATGTCCATCAGGTTTGTCCATGTTGTCACAAATGACAGAATTTCTTCCCATTGCGTACATATACCACATTTTAAAAGTCCATCCATCTTTTGATGCACACAGGTTATGTACATCATGGTGAGTATAGTTCGTAATATATTGTATACTTGAAAATTGCTAACACAATTTTAAGTATTCTCACCGCCAAAAAAATGGTAAGTATATGAGATAATGCATATGTTCAATAGCTTGATTTTGCTATTCTACAATGTGTATATGTATATAAACATCATGATGTACACCATAAATATATATTATTTTTACTTGTCAATTAGAAAGAAAAGAAGGCCAGGCGTTGTAGCTTATGCCTGTAATCCCAGCACTTTGGGAGGCTGAAGCGGATGGATCACGAGGTCAAGAGATGGAGACCATCCTGGCCAACATGGTGAAACCCCGTCTCTACTAAAAATACAGAAATTAGCTGGGCGTGGTGGCGGGCACCTGTAGTCCCAGCTACTTAGTAGGCTGAGGCAGGAGAATGGCTTGAACCTGGGAGGTGGAGGTTGCAGTGAGCAGAGATTGCGCCACTGCACTCCAGCCTGGCAATAGAGTGGGACTCTGTCAGAAAGAGAGAGAGAGAGAGAGAGAGAGAGAAAGAGAGAAAGAGAGAGAGAAAGAGAGAGAGAAAGAAAGAAAGAAAGAAAAGAAAAAGAGGAAGACATTTAATAAGCTCTGATTTGCTCTGCCCATGTTCCCTGCTTACTTGTGTGTTTGTTTTCAGTAGAGTGGGTAGTGTGCACTTCAGAGTGAGACGGAGCCAGGTGTGAATCCCTGCTCTGCTGTGTTCAAGCTCCGCACTTTCTAATTTGGGAGGGGGGATCATAAAACCTGCCTCGTGGTGGTGTTATGAGGATCGAATAAAAGATCTTTCATAGTGCACTAGGCCATAACGAAGCCTCAAAAATGTTTAGATCTCTTCCCTTCAGTTTCAGGGATGAAGTGATTATTAAATGGGTGTCCATTTGATTGTGGTTTTTTGTTTTTTTTTTTTACATAGTGGGACAATTCGAGTATGGGAATTGGATCTTCCAAATAGAAAAATCTGGCCAACTGAGTGCCAAACAGGACAGTTGAAAAGAATAGTCATGAGTATTGGAGTAAGTATTAATTTAAGTATTAAGTAACAATTAGCACACGTTCCTGTTAGCAGTGCTGACCAAGGTGTTTGTGTGTGTGTACATGGGGCTGGGGATAGGAAAGTGGGGTATAGACATAGGGGATGTTGATTGAAGAAGCTCACTTTGGCCAGGTGCAGTGGCTCACGCCTGTAATCCCAGCATTTTGGGAGGCGGAGGTGGGTGAATCACTTGAGGTCATGAGTTCGAGACCAGCCTGGCCAACATGGTGAAACCTTGTCTCTACTAAAAATACACAAGTAGCCAGGTGTGGTGGTAGGTGCCTGTAATCCCAGCTACTTGGGAGGTTGAGGCAGGAGAATTGCTTGAACCTGGGAGGCGGAAGTTGCGGTGAGCTGGCATCATGCCACTGCACTCCAGCCTGGACAACAGAGTGACACTCTGTTTCAAAAAAAAAAGAAGAAAAAGTTCACCTCTGCACCTCTGCCACTCCCTTTAGGAGTCAGGGAAGAGTCACCTAGACACAGCACAGGTAAACCTTGTTTTGCTGGAATCTAGGCTGTCATCAAACACCGAAAGCCTGCCTCACCTGGATGAAAGCAATGCAGCCCGTGGCACTCAGAGCCCACAGCACATTCCTATGCCACTGATGCTATTTCTGCCACTGAAAATAAAGTTTCTGACCATGAAATCCATTGTTGAAATGCAATCTCTTCCATAAAGAGAAATTATTAATATATTTTAAATGTGGGTTTATATATTCAGGTTGCATATTCCTTATCTGACATGCATATAGCCAGAAGTGTTTTGAATTTTGGATTTTCTTCAGATTTTGGAGTATTTGCATTATACTTCCAAGTTCAGCATCTCTAATCTGAAAATTCAAAATTTGAGATGTGCTAATGAGCATTTCCTTGGAGTGTCACATCAGCACTCAACAATTTCCGATTTTGGAGCATTTCAGATTTTAGATTTTTAGATTTTTGGATTATACTCAACCTGTATAACTTCATTCTCCATGGACTGATTCCTCTTGTTTAATGCATAGTCATTTTATGGATATAAGCTTTGGAAAATATGAGATAAAGCAAATGTACATCCTTTTTGGAGGGGCACACCTTTATCCTAGGAGCCCTTAAGAGATGTCTCAAAATTCTGAACTGGCAGAGGATGCCTATTAACATCAGAACCAGATAGACTTCAAGTGAAAGGCACAGGCTAATTGGGGTCGAATATTTCCTCCCATTCTATGTGTAGCCCTTACCCTGCTCCCCTCAGAGCTGTTCTGACCCATCTTTGAGCCTGGGGAAATAGAAGCAGCCCTGAGCATCTTTGTAAGTCTTCATGGGGTGCCAGAGGAACCTCATCCCATTCCTGAACAGGTGTTCATGGGCATCATTCAGGGCATCCAGGTCTTCAAGTTTTCTTCTTCTTTTTTTTTTTCCTGAGACAGAGTTTTGCTCTTGTTGCCCAGGCTGGAGTGCAATGGCACAATCTTGACTCACTGCAACCTCTGCCTCCTGAGTTCAAGCGATTCTCCTACCTCAGCCTCCCGAGTAGCTGGGATTATAGGCATGCACCACGACACCCAGCTAATTTTGTATTTTCAGTAGAGACAGGGTTTCTCCATGTTGGTCAGTCTGGTCTTGAACTCCTGACCTCAGGTGATCCACCCGCCTCGGCCTCCCAAAGTGCTGATATTACAGGCGTGAGCCACCGAGGCTGGCCAAGATTTCTTTTTCTTGCTTCTTCAGGTGGATGATGATGATAGCTTTTTCTACCTTGGCACCACGACTGGAGATATTCTAAAAATGAACCCCAGGACTAAACTGCTGACAGATGTTGGGCCTGCGAAGGACAAATTCAGTTTGGTGAGTAGAGACCATCGCCACTGCCCTGCCATTTTTCTCCCTTCACTGGCAGCATGTACTTTTTTTTTTCCTTTTTGAGATGCAGTCTTGTTCTGTCACTCAACCTGGAGTACAGTGACGTGATCTTGGCTCACTGCAACTTCTGCCTCCCAGGTTCAAGCGATTGTCCCACCTCAGCCTCTCAAGTAGCTGGGACTACAGGTGTGCCCCACCACACCCGACTAATTTTTGTATTTTTTAGTACAGACAGGGTTTCATCATGTTGGCTAGGCTAATCTTGAACTCCTGACCTCAAGTGATCTGCCCACCTTGGCCTCTCAAAGTGCTGGGATTACAGGTGTGAGCCACCATGCCCGGACAAAGCACACACTTTGTTTGTTTGTTTGTTTGTTTGTTTTTGAGAAAGAGTCTCGCTCTGTCGCCCAGGCTGGCGTGCAGTGGCGAGATGTCGGTTCACAGCAAGCTCCGCCTCCTGGGTTCACGCCATTCTCCTGCCTCAGCCTCCCAAGTAGCTGGGACTACAGGCGCCCGCCACCACGCCCAGCTAATTTTTTTGTATTTTTTAATAGAGACGGGGTTTCACTGAGCACACACTTTCTTAATGAAGAAAGAGTTTGTGGGAAAACATAAAAAGTCAGTGATGGACCCAAAGCCACATCTCAATTTGCAAGGTACATTGGCCAGTTCTCTATGCCCTCGTCTCTGGTTTTTATTCTGGGTAAAGACATTTCTAGGTGTCCTGAATTAGGGAATCAGAACCACATTTCCAGTTCTGTGAAGAAAGTCATTGGCGGCACTATTCACAATAGCAAAGACTTGGAACCAACCCAAATGTCCAACAATGATAGACTGGATTAAGAAAATGTGGCACATATACACCATGGAATACTATGCAGCCATAAAAAAGGATGAGTTCATGTCCTTTGTAGGGACATGGATGAAGCTGGATACCATCATTCTCAGCAAGCTATTCCAAGAACAAAAAACCAAACACCACATTTTCTTACTCATAGGTGGGAATTGAACAATGAGAACACATGGACCCGGGAAAGGGAACATCACACACCAGGGACTGTTGTGGGGTGGGGGGAGGGGGGAGGGATAGCATTAGGAGATATACCTAATGTAAATGACGAGTTAATGGGTGCAGCACACCAACATGGCACATGTATACATATGTAACAAACCTGCACGTTGTGCACATGTACCCTAAAACTTAAAGTATAATAATAATAAAATTTTAAAAAAAGTACCACATTTATGTTCACCTCTTCAAAGCATAGGGCCTATTGCTTTGTGATTTTAAACTGCGTTGGTTCCAGCCCCATTGCCATACATAAGAGAAGTGTGCTCTTTGATCTATAAAACTATATATATAATTTTTGTCTACTTTACTAACTAGATCTTAGATTTTAGCCTCAGCTGACATTATAAGTCGTGAGCAAGACCTAGAAATAGTCAACTGTTTATATTTACAGACTTCCTAGCAATTCTAGTTAAAAGGACAGTTAGAGACTTTGATATTTATACCAAAATAAAAAGCTACCATCAAAGGATAATTTTATATAACAAATGCTGCTATTTCCAGCACCCCAGTAACTTATCAGGGCTGTTTCTACTAAACTTTGAATTTGAAAGCTTGTACTATGTTCTGCACCTGCCTATCTCGTTTCTGATAACAGAACAGATGGTTCTAACTAAGCTTAGATACTTTTCCACATAGCAGATATTCTCAAGAAACTTTGAAATACTGCACTGTGTTCCTGGGAAAATGTCACAGTTTTCTTAGTCACATAATCATTTAATATTCAAGCATTCAAGGAGATGCATAAAAAGAGGGAAAAACTATAGTATAAGTAGAGAAGAGTTTAGAAATAATGCTACAAGAGATTGAAGTGTAGCTTTTCAAGTGTGGTTTTTCTAATTCTTTTTAGGATAGGAATTCTTTTTTTATTATTATACTTCATACATGTGGGATACATGTGCAGACCGTGCAGGTTTGTTACATAGGTATACACGTGCCATGGTGGTTTGCTGCACCCATTAACCCGTCGTCTACATTAAGTATTTCTCTTAATGCTATCCCTTTTCTAGCCCCCACCCCTGACAGGCCCCGGTGTGTGATGTTCCCCTCCCTGTGTCCATGTGTCCTCATTGTTCAACTCTCACTTATGAATGAGAACATGCGGTGTTTGGTTTTCTGTTCCTGTTTTAGTTTGCTGAGAATGATGGTTTCCAGCTTCATCCATGTCCCTGCAAAGGACATGAACTCATTCTTTTTTATGGCTGCATAGTATTCCATGGTGTATATGTGCCACATTTTCTTTCTATCCAGTCTATCATTGATGGACATTTGGGTTGGTTCCAAGTCTTTGCTATTGTGAATAGTGCCACAATAAACATACATGTGCATGTAGAATGATTTATAATCCTTTGAGTATATACGCAGTAATGGGATTGCTGGGTCAAATGGTATTTCTGGTTCTAGATCCTTGAGGAATCACCACACTGTCTTCCACAATGGCTGAACTAATTTACACTCCCACCAACAGTGTAAAAGTGTTCCTATTTCTCCACATCCTCCCCAGCATCTGTTGTTTCCTGACTTTTTAATGATCGCCATTCTAACTAACGTGAGATGGTATCGCATTGCAGTTTTGATTTACATTTCTCTAATGACCAGTAATAATGAGCTTTTTCTCATATGTTTGTTGGCCGCATAAATATCTTCTTTTGAGAAGTGTGTGTTCATATAGGATAGGAATTCTAATATATTAAACAAATAAAAACAAAGCACATCAGGTTAAGGAGAGCAAGTCTTAGAGCCCTGCCAGTGCCAACTCCTGAGATGCCTCCAAAGAGCTCCATGTAACACTACCTGAAAACTAGTGGATTTTTTGTTTTGTTTTGTTTTGTTTTCCTAGCACTTGGGAACGAAATATCTGTCCAGCAAAGATGCTGGCTATCTTAGGTTTCTCAAACCTTTGGCACTTAAGTCACCTGTGGATGCTGAAATTCTTTTTTATTATTGTTATTATTTTTTGATACAGAGTCTCGCTCTGTCGCCCAGGCTGGAGTGCAGTGGCACTATCTCGGCTCACTGCAAGCTCTGCCTCCAGAGTTTACGCCATTCTCCTGACTCAGTCTCCAGAGTAGCTGGGACTACAGGCGCCTACCACCATGCCCAGCTAACTTTTTTGTATTTTTAGTAGAGACGGGGTTTCACCGTGTTAGCCAGGATGGTCTCGATCTCCTGACCCCGTGATCCACCCGCCTCGGCCTCCCAAAGTGCTGGGATTACAGGCGTGAGCCACCACACCCGGCCCTAAGTAGATATTTCATGTTCATGGATAGGAAGACTCAGTATTGTCACGATATGAGTTCTTCTTAATTTGAACTATAGATTTACTGCAATCCCAATAAACATCCCAGCAAGTTATTTTGTGTCTGTAGACAAACTGATTCTACAGTTTACACAGAGGGGCAAAAGACTCCGACTAGAAAGCACAATATTGATACCTAATGTAGATGACGGGTAATATAGATGATGTAGATGACGGGTTGATGGGTGCAGCAAACCACTATGGCACATGTACACCTATGTAACAAACCCGCATGTTCTGCACATGTATCCCAGAACTTGAAGTATAATTTTTAAAAAAAGAAAGCACAATATTGAAGAAGAACACAGTTGGAGGAGTGACACTACCAGATTTCAAGACTTACCATAAAACTACAGTAATCAAGACAGTGTAGGGTTGGTGAAAGAATAGATAAATGGATCAATGGGACAGAATAGAGAGCCCAAACATGAATTCACATAGTCAACTGATCATTGGTGAAAGAGCAAAGGAAATACAATGGAAAAAAAGATCGTCTTTTTAATAAATAATGCTAAACACCTGGAAAACCAAAAAATAAAAATAAAAAAGCCTAGACACAGACCTTATACCTTTCACAAAAATTAACTCAAAATGGATTACAGACCTAAAACACAAAACAATAGAACTCCTGAAAGATAAAATCCAGAAGACCTAAGATGTGGTGATAACTTTTAGCTATAATACCCATGAAAGAAAGAATTGAAAAGCTGGACTTCCTTAAAATCAAAAATTCTGCTCCATGAAAGACACTGTCAAGAGAATGAAAAATAAAGATACAGAGTGAGAGGAAATATTGGCAAAAGACATACCTGAATAAGGACTGTTACCCAAAATATACAGAGAACTTTTAAAACTCAACAATAAGAAATGGGCCAAAGACCTTAACTGCCACCTCCCCTAAAGAAGATATACAGATGGCAGCCGGGCGCAGTGGCTTGTGCCTGTAATCCCAGCACTTTGGGAGGCTGAGGCGGGCCGATCACCTGAGGTCAGGAGTTTAAGACCAGCGGGGCCAACATGGTGAAACCCCGTCTCTACTAAAAATACAAAAGTTAGCCAAGTGTGGTGGTGTGAGCCTGTAATCCCAGCTACTAGGGAGGCTGAGGCAGGAGAATCACTTGAACCCGGCAGTGAGATCACGCCATTGCACTTCAGCCTGGGGGACACAGCAAGACTCTGTCTCAAAATAAATAAATAAATAAATAAATAAATAAATAAATAAATAAATAAATAAATAAAAGAAGATATACAGATGGCAAGTAAGCATATGGAAAGATACTCTATGTCTTATATCAGCCGGGAAATGTAATTAAAACAGCAATGAGGCACGACTACATACCTTTTCAAATGGCCAAAATCCAGAACACTAACAACACCTAATATTGACAGAGATGGAGAGCAGTGAGTACTATTGTTCATTGCTGATGGGAATGCAAAATAGTACGGCCACTTTGGAAGATAGTTTGGTGGTTTCTTGCAAAATTAAACTTACTCTTACCATGTAATGCAGCAGTTGCACTCCTTGCTATTTACCCAAAGGAGCTGAAAACTTATGTTCACACGAGAACCTGCACACAGATGTTTACAGAAGCTTTATCCATAATTGCCAAAACTTGGAAGCAACCAAGATGTCCTTCAGTAAGTAAAGGGATACGTAAACTGTGATACATCCAAACAATGGCATATTAATCAGTACTAAAAAGAAATGAGCTATAAAGTCAGGAAAAGACTTTATAGGAAAAGAAGGAAACTGAGATGCACATTACTGAGTGGAAGATGCCAGTCTGAAAGACTGCACACCATTTGATTCTAACTATATGACATTCTGGAAAAGGCAAAATTATGGAGACAATAAAAAGATCAGGCTGGGCGCGGTGGCTGACACCACTAATCCCAGCACTTTGTGGGGAGCTGAGACGAGCAGATCATGAGGTCAAGAGATCAAGACCATCCTGGCCATCTCTACTAAAAATACAAAAATTAGCTGGGTGTGGTGGTACATGCCTGTAGTTCCAGCTACTCGGGAGGCTGAGGCAGGAGAATTGCTTCAACTCAGGAGGTGGAGGTTGCATTGAGCCGAGATCGCGCCCCTGCACTTCAGCCTGGCGACAGAGTGAGACTCCATCTGAAAAAAAAAAAAAAAAAAAAAAAAAAAAATCAGTGCTTGCCATGGGTTAGCAGGGAGGGAGGAGTGAATGGGTAAAGCACAGAGGATGTTTTGGGCAGTGAAACTATTCTGTATGGCACTATAATGGTAAATATATGTTGCTATTAATTTGTCCAAACCCAGAGAGTATGCAATGCCAAGAGGGAACCCTAATGTACACAATGGATTTTGGGTGATAATGATGTGTCCACATAGGTTTATTAGCTGTCATACATCTACTCTGCTGGAAGATATTGATAATGGGAGAGGCTCTTTAACTGTGGGGGAAAGAAGTATTGGGGAAATCTCAAATACTTGTATCTTCTGTTTAATTTTGCTGCAAACCTAAAACTGCTCTAAAAAAAATAGCCTAGTAAAAACAAAAATAGTCCAGGCAAGGTGGATCATGCCTGTAATCTTAGCGCTTTGGGAGGCCAAGGCAGGAGGATCACTTGAGGCTGGAGTTTGAGGCCAGCCTGGGCAGCATAGAAATACCCTATTTCTGTGAAAAGTTTTTAAAAATTAGCCGGCGTGGTGGCATGCATCTATAGTCCTGGCTACTGGGGAGGCTGAGGCAGGAGAATTGCTTCATCCCGGGAGTTCGTGGTTACAGTGAGCTGTGATTGTGCCACTGCACTCCAGCCTGGGTGGCAGAGACCCTGTCTCCAAAATACACACACACACACACACACGAACATGCAAATACAAAAATGGTATCTGTCAATAAATGCTGATGTGTCAGACATGGTGCAAAACCCCTTCCTTAAATGATCTCATTCGATCTTCATAAACGCCTAATGAGATAGGTACCATTTTCATCCCTGCTTTACAGATGAGAAAACTGAGGCTCTTAACATTGGAAATCTCCTGGCTTGCAAGTAATAGAGCTGAGATTTCAACCCAGGCCGACTGGCTGCAGAACCTGTGCACTTGAATGACGTCATCTATAGTTTTAAAAAGTTTATTTAGAAATCACACATATGTAGCTTCGAGGCGCTGTTGAACTCTTTACCACTTGCATCCCCAAGTCCCCAGATAAATGCTAAAAAATTCACTCCATGTTTTGTCTCCTCATAGGCTGAGCCTTCATCCTGTTGTCCTGCTGAGGCACTTAGGAAGTTAGGGGTGAGGGGTGGAAGCTGGGGAGCATGTAATTCTGGTCCTTGCCTTCACATTCTTGAGCCTTGGTTTCTCTTCTCAATCACAAAATGTCTTTTGAGCCACAACAGGCTAAATTCAGTGTAAAGTAACTTGAAAGGGCAGGATATTTGTTTTATCATATTCAAAATTCATTAAGACACAAACCTATACAGTCACTAGCTATACTGAATGTTTTAAAATCAAATGTTGTGGCTGAGTGTGGTGGCTCACACCTGTAATCCCATCACTTTGGGAGGCTGAGGCAGGAGGATCACTTCAGGTGAGGAGTTCGAGACCAGCCTGGCCAACATGGCGAAACCCCATCTCTACTGAAAATACAAAAATTAACCAGGCATGATGGCGCATGCCTATAATCCCAGCTACTCTGGTGGGTGAGTCACAAGAATCGCTTGAACTTGGGAGGCAGAGAGTGCAGTGAGTTGAGATCATGCCACTGCACTCCAGTCTGAGTGACAGAGAGAGACTCTGCCTCAAAAAAACAATAGTAATAACAAATAAATAAAATAAAATATTGCTCACGCACATTTTAAAATTAGAACTTCACAGTGGATACTATAAAACAACCATCATACATTGTCAAGCCTTTTTTTTCTTTGGAGAGAATGGTGGGGGGCACCCCAACCTTTGAAGAGCACTTTAAATTTTAAATATGTTTCCCACTCTTATGTAGTACATGTTGTAGTTCAGATAATACAGTCGCCAAACAATAAGAAGTCTATTGTGCTTTCTTGGGATATTAAATATGGTCCCTTTGCATTTGTAAGAATTAAGTTCTGGTGAAAACAGTGGCAGCTGAGAGACTAGCATTGCTGAGGTTATGCTTATACCTTCTCTTGGCTGCATTTGAGTGGATGTAAAAGTGTTAATTTTTAAAATATTCAAAATGCACCAGTGGTTTTAGGGAGGAAGGATGGTGAAGCCTGTTTGCATCCTGTAGGCCCAGGAGGGTTACTTCCTGGCAAGTGAGCTTGTTGTTGGCACTGAATCCCCTTGGTCAGCCTGGGGGTGCATCGCGAGCAGAACCTTCATGAACATCCTCCAGGCAATGTGTGCAGCACTGGCATGACTTTGGCCATCTTTAATTCATCTTTCATTCAGCTTTTTTCTTTTTTTCATTAATATTTAAAATTTTTTTTATTGCCATATGTTTTTGGGGAACAGGTGGTATTTGGTTACATGAGTACATTCTTTAGTGGTGATTTGTGAGATTTTTGTGCTTTTTCTTAACACAGTTTTTCCCCCTAGGGAGTGTCAGCTATCAGGTGCCTGAAGATGGGGGGTTTGTTGGTGGGCTCTGGAGCCGGACTGCTGGTCTTCTGTAAAAGCCCTGGCTACAAACCCATCAAGTAAGTTCCGGGTCTCACACAGTGGGGCTGGGTAGAGACCCACTAAACGGAGATTTGCTTAAAGCCAGCAACTCGATGATATCGGCAAAGTGATATTTGGTTAAAAAATTTCATCTTGCTGTTAGAATGAGTAGTTGGAATCACAATAGATGGTGGCTTCTTTGTCAACGAAAAGACAAAAGCTTATGTTGAATCAAACCAAAGTAGTCCACTATTACCCAGAGGGACACTGCCCATTTAATAAATACATAAGTTTGTATTTAGCTAACACATTGAGCCATGATGAAAGGAACGGGATGTTATAAACTTATCCAAGAAATAACCCCCAATGTTAAATGTTCAAAATTGGTTAACTCAATGAAATTTATTATGCAATGGGTACCTATTATGTGCAAAGCATTGTGTTAATCATGCATTTGAATACAATTTATAATAGAAATAGCCAGCATTCACCAGCCATTTCTATATGCCAGATACTCTGCTATGTATGTTTCTTGGCTCATTTAATTAAAATAAAATGAAACAAAACCTTATTTATTGCCATAACAATGTGCTTATTCAGCACCTCCTCCAACCAAACCAATGTATTAGATACTATTAATAAAATAAAGAAAAATAAGCTATGGTCTTTGTCCTCCCAGAACTTACAGACTCGTTTGGGGCTAAGGTATGTACACACGAAAGAAGTCACTACCAGACAAGATAGGATATTAGCACATGGTCCAGATAAAGTAAAATATATTATGAATGTTGTAGAGATCAGAGAAGAGGATGACCTTCTCGGGATGGAAAGATCAGGGAGGACAGTTCACAGAGGGATGGGCTTAAACAAAAACCAGATACCCCACACATGTGCTTTATGGCCTCTGCTACCCCCAGGAAGCCAGGGGTAGTTGCACACATGTTGTAGAAATGAGCACCAGCTGTCTTCATTCCAAGAAATCTGTGTTGAACATTCACGGGGTACCAGGCATCATTCTAGGTGCTTAGGATATCTCAGTGAATAAAACATAAAAGATGAAAAAAAAAATCCCTGTCCTCATGGAGCTTACATTCTAGCAGGAAGGAAAAGGCAATAAATAAGAAACAAAATAAACAAGGAAAGTACATAGTATTAGAGGGTGATAAGTACAATGGAGAAAAATGAAGTAGGATGCAGAGTAAGGGGATTATGGTTTGAATAGAAGCAGGGAGGCCAGGTGCAGTGGCTCACGCCTGCAATCCCAGCTCTTTGGGAGGTCGAGGCAAGTGGATCGCTTGAGCCCAGGAGTTCCAGCCCAGCCTGGGCAACACAGTGAAGCCTCATCTCTACAAAAAAATACAAAAATTAGCCAGATGTGGTGGCACATACCTGTAGTCCCAGCTACTCAGGAGGCTGAAGCGGGAGGATTGATTGAGGTTGATCAGTCAACCTCAAGGTTGAGGCTGGAGTGAGCCATGATCATGGCACTGAACTCAGCCTGGGTGACAGAACGAGACCTCGTCTCAATTTTTTTTTTAAATAAAAAAGCAGTGTATACATTGCCATTTTAAATTCAGTGGTCAAGATTGGGCTTATTGAGAATGTTTTAGACCAGTTTCATGCTTGTATGAAGGGAAATGAGGGAGGGAGGAGTCTTTAGAACAATATTGGAAGCCTTCCAGGTTATTATACATGCTCAAGTTTGAAAGCCACAGCCCCAGAGAATGCTGGGAGCAGCATTCATCAGGAGCCTGGTGCCTGGACAACCTCATGGAATAGACACTTATAAAACCTGGAATCTGATTTCTGGAGAGAGAGAGAGAGAGAGAGACAGAGACAGAGAGAGACAGAGAGAGAGAGAAGCTCCTCTCTTAATTTACAACCGAACCTGAATCCTAATACAGGTGAGGTGGGGGAGAGGAATGATGAGAAACTTAACCTTAAAATAGCAACAATCAGGAGAGGAAAGAAATAACATCCAAGTATTGTCGATAATACAAGATGCAAGAAATAAAATCAAGTAAAAAACAAACTATGTTGGGTTATCTCTGGATGTATGAAGTGAATATAGTAAATTAACCTTCTAATTTTTTACCCCTTTGTTTTTAGTGTGTGTACATTCCCATTATGATGAAGATAAACTCAAAGTAATTATCACCAGGTTTGTGCTATCACTGTTTCCAAAATAACCCTGTGTGACAGTGCAGAATTAAATCAGATGCGGTGGTTTCCACCTGCTGGGCTTTTTGTAGATTGAAAAGGCTGCTCACATGAGAAGTCATGGAGACTGGAAAGGGAAGATGTATGATCAAAATGGACAGCTCCAGTGCCAAGATCTTTCCTTTCCCCATTTTTTTTTTTTGTTTGTTTTGAGATGGAGTCTCGCTCTGTTGCCCAGGCTGGAGTGCAATGACGCCATCTTGGCTCACTGCAACCTCCGCCTCCCGGGTTCAAGAGATTCTCCTGCCTCAGGCTCCCGAGTAACTGGGATTACAGGTGCCCGCCACCAAGCCCAGCTAATTTTTTTTTGTATTTTTAGTAGAGATGGGGTTTCACCCTGTTGGCCAGGCTGGTCTCAAACTCCTGACCTCAGATGATCCACCCACCTTGGCCTCCCAAAGTGCTAGGATTACAGGTGTGAGCCACCATGCCCAGCCTGTTCTTCCCCTTTTATCCCTAGGCTTCATTTTGTCTTCTGAAGTTCCCAGATGCCAATAGCCAGTATTTCTTTGTTGTCATCTGTGGGCTAGCAACAGATATAAAGGAGCAACATCTTCACTGCAACACTTGTAAAGGAGGAATTATTCTGTGGTTGAGTAAACTGAGGCCAGAGGTTTCTGACAACTTGTCCAGAGTCACAAACCTCTAGTTAGTGCAAGAACTGAGGTTTAACTTGTCATCTTCCTTTCGTCATTAACTGTTCTGTGTCCCACCAATAAATCTCTAAAACACTGTATTTCCCATGCTGGCTTCTTGCACAAGAACCTGCGTTGAATTCTTCATTGTCTAAACTAAACTAGTTACAGAGAGAGTCTGTATCCTAGGGCCTCATTCATGTATATACTTTTTTTTTTTAAGTTCATACTCATTATAAAGGGAAGAGGGAGAAATCTGAAATGTAGAAGAGGAAAAACCAACTCCTTAAGGTTCTGGCAAAGACAACCCCTAGTTTTTCTTTTTTTTCTTTTTTTGAGACAGAGTCTCACTCTGTCATCCAGGATGGAGGGCAGGGATGAGATTGTGACTCACTGCAGCCTCCAACTCCTGGGCTCAAGTGACCCTTCTACCTCAGACTCCCAAGTAGCTGGGACTATAGGTGCGCACCACCACACCTGGCTAATTTATTTTATTTTATTTTTTATTTTTAGAGACAGGGTCTTGCCATGTTGCCCAGGCTAGTCTCAAACTCCTGGCCTCAAGTGGTCCTCCTTGCCTAGGCCATCCAAAGTGCTGGGATTACAGGCATGAACAACTGTACAAGCTCTGAAATGATTTTACTTATAAATAAAATGTTGTATTCTAATTTTTTACTTAATGCAAGCATCATAAACATTTTCAGTATTATGATGTAATCTTTTTATTATGGTAACATATACACGTACTACATAATCTTTTAAACTTTTTTTAGGCAAATATCCTATGAAGCTGATGTTCCATAGATCATTTAACTATTCCATTACAACTGGGTATTTAGGTTGTTTCCAACCTTTTACTCTTTCAGATAGGGTTATCATAGCATCCTTTGACGTAAAGCATCTTCCCCCTGATTTTAGGATTATTTTTCAGAAGTGGAATTAATAAAGGGGTTAGTTGCTGTGGTCATTTGTACCCATATGCCTGCCTGGAATATTCCCTCTACCCAAATCCTGCCTGCATTGCACAACCCATGTCAAAACGTTATCTCACTGAAGAAGCTTTCCTGACTACTTTAACCTATGCTGACCTCTGGCTTTGCTGTTCGTGGGTACACCAACTTGTGAGTAACTCCTGCCTTTTCAACTGTGTCACTTCTGTGAGGGCGTGTCTGAAATTATATGCCTGATTTGTATCCTCTGCCATGCTTCACATGATTCGTAACTACTTACTGGTTGAGTGAATCTACTTTACTTTTGTGCTTCTCCCTAAAGGAAGATTCAGTTACAAGGCGGCATCACTTCTATCACACTTCGAGGAGAAGGACACCAGTTTCTCGTAGGAACAGAAGAATCGCACATTTATCGTGTCAGCTTCACGGATTTCAAAGAGACGCTCATAGCGACTTGTCACTTTGATGCTGTCGAGGATATTGTCTTTCCATTGTGAGTAGAAGAGAAAAACAAGAATGTGGAGATTTGATGCAGTGTGCCAGGGCATTTAATTTTATGAATGCATTTTCAATATTAATGAACATAGTTATGATTTTTCTCCTTAAATTTTTCTAACGTGGTGAATTATTTTAAGAGACTTTCCATTGTCTTTGCCATGCAATTATATTAGCTTTCCAATTCAAATTTGAGTTTCTTTAGAATATTGACTTTTCTAATAAACCCCTCATGGAAAGGGTAAGTACCTGACAAAACCTTTCTGTTTTCTTAATCCCATCCAGAGAAAGCTTAGTACAGACAGTCCCTGACTTATGATTTTTTTTATTTTATGATGGTGTAAAAGCAAAATGTATTCAGTAGAAACTATATTTCAAGTACACATACAACTATTTTGTTTTTCCCTTTCAGTACAGTATTCAATAAATTACATGAGATATTCGACACTTTATTATAAAATAGGATTTGTGTTAGATGATTTTGCCCAGCTATAGGCTAATGGAAGTGTTCTGGGTATGTTTAAGGTAGGCTGGGCTAACCTAGGATGTTCAGTAGGTGAAGTGTATTAAGTGCATTTTCGACTTAGGATATTTTCAATTACATTGGGTTTATCAGGCATATAGCCCCATCTTAAGACACGAAGTATCTGTGGTACCTGTTTTCAAACTTCTTTCCTGTCATTTGTACCTCTTGAGGTCTTCTAGATTTCACAGGCTTCATGGTGGTGGGTATTACGAGGGCTTCTGGATCTAGTTGCTGTATTTCTTGGTAAATCTCACCCAGCACAAGTAAAACAAATAACTACCAGCAGTTTTGATATCAAAAGGAGCTTCAGTCAGATGTTCTGGTATTTGATTTTGTAACACATTTTGTCTTTGGTGAGATTCATTTCATGAAGTTGGTCAGTTTTTGCTCTGAACTTCCTCAGTACTTAGCTTAATTTATAATACTCAACTTTCAGCAAGACTTATATTCAGACCTCAGTTTTTGTTTTGTTTTGTTTTTTGTTTTTGGGGGGTTTTTGTTTGTTTGTTTGTTTGTTTGTTTGTTTTTGAAGCGGAGTCTTGCTCTGTCACCCAGGCTGGAGTGCAGTGGTGGGATTTCGACTCACTGCAACCTCTGCCTCCTCGATTCAAGCGATTCTCCTGCCTCAGCCTCCTGAGTAGCTAGGATTACAGGCATGCACCACCACGCCCGGCTAATTTTTTATATTTTTGGTAGAGATGGGGTTTCACCTTGTTGGCCAGGCTGGTCTTGAACTCCCGACTTCAAGTGATCCACCCACCTCAGCCTCCCAAGGTGTTGGGATTACAGGCGTGAGCCACTGCACCCGGCCTCAGACCTCAGTTTTTGAGATCTTGAGCTGTAGTTTCCGTTCCCTGAATCCCTGTGATTAGGTCTTTCCACGTTATTTCTAACAGTGAAAATGGCTGCTGCTTTCCCACTAGGTGAATCTTTGTTTGCAAGTTGGTCATTTTCTTTTGGTCTCACTTTTTCCCCTCTTTTTTTTTAATAAGCACTTTAGTAGAATTAATCTGCAAAACTGTTTGGCCCTGGTGCTTTTTTTAAGGGTAGATTTTAAACCATCTTTTCAATTGCTTATATAGTTATTGATCTGTTTGGGTTTTGCATCTCTTTCTTTTCCTTTTCCTTTTCTTTTTCTTTTCTTTCTTTCTTTTTTTTTTTTTTTTTGAGACTGAGTCTCGCTCTGTTGCCATGCTGGAGTGCAGTGGCACGATCTTGGCTCACTGCAACCTCTGCCTCCCAGGTTCAAGCAATTCTCCCACCTCAGCCTCCTGGGTAGCTGGGACTACAGGCATGTGCCACCGCGCCCAGCTAATTTTTATATTTTTAGTAGAGATGGGATTTCACTATGTTGGCCCAGCTGGTCGCGAGCTCCCAACCTCAGGTGATCCACCCGCCTTGGCCTCCCAAAGTGCTGGGATTACAGGCGTGAGCCACCACGCCTGGCCTCTCAAAATATTTCTCTTGCCATCAATTTTACTTAGTCTGATATTAAGATTACCACATCTTCATTCCTTTAAAATAACATTTACTAATTAGGAATTTTTGCTATAATGTAATAAATGAATTCGTTTATTATAAAAATTCATTTGTTTATTAAACAAATTCATTTATTTATTAAAAAAAGGACTTCTGGGAAAAATTGAATTAGGCCAGGATTTCTCAACCTCCGCACTATTGACATTTTGAGTTAGATAACTTGATATTGTGGATGCTATTCTGTGCATTAAAGGATGTTTGGCAGCATTCCTGGGCTCTACCCATCAGACGCGAGTAGCAGCTCCTTCCCTGCAATTATGACGACCAAAAAATGTCCCCAGACCTTGCCAAACTTCCCCTGGTGGCAAAATTACCCCTAGCTGAGAATCACTGGGGTTAGGCCAGACCTCTTACTACTGATGCAATTTTGTAATCAGAGCACTAACAAACCAGTCACAATTTTAATAAACTATTAGCACAGTTAGAAAGAGTTTATTAAATTCCTAATAAGAAAGAAATACTGCAGTAAATATAGGACTTCGCCTTTTAATAAGTAAGGGTAACTTTCTAAAAGGAGATTTAAGAAGACTTGAGGCTGCTGAGTTGTGAATATGAACTAAACTAAGAGGAAGAACATAGAATAAATGTATGGTACTGCATTCTTCATTTACTTGCTAATTTAGTTGTGTTAATGTTCTTTGTTTTCAATTGCTATTACTTTATATACCAAAGCATTATTATACTGAGATTAAATCATGCATGAACCAATGAAACTTGTGTAATATTCTGTTAGGTTGGTGCAAAAATAATTGCAGTTTTACCAATTGCATATGAGCTAATATTCATTACAGAGACGTGCATTGCAGCAA
Organism: Homo sapiens; assembly: GCF_000001405.40. Classification (NCBI taxonomy): domain Eukaryota; kingdom Metazoa; phylum Chordata; class Mammalia; order Primates; family Hominidae; genus Homo; species Homo sapiens. The sequence continues at coordinate 9,615,356 of NC_000017.11, forward strand.
AAGAGAGTGTATTGTCTTTTTTCAACTCTTTATTTTCAACCTATTAGTGTTTAGTTTTAGGTAAGTCTTAGTCTTTTAATAGAATTTAATTCATTCATAAGTATTACTATCTGATAAGTTTATATATTTTTCTGTTTAACATGTTTACTCTTTTTGTCTTTTCTTGTAGCTGTCATGTTTTATTTGGTTCCGTTTTAACCTTTGCTGCATACAACTTGGAAACTATCTACTTTATTTGTATTCATTTAGTGGTTACCCTTGAATTGTTTTTTTTTCTTTTAGGACATAAGGTCTTCCTCTGTCACCCAGGCTAGAGCACAGTGACGCAATCACAGCTCAGAACTCCTGGGGTTAAGCAATCCTCCTGCCTTAACCTCTGGAGTAGCTGGGATGCAGGCATGTACCACCATGCCCAGCTAATTAAAACAAAAAAAAAATTCTTTTTTTTTTTTTTTTTTTTTTTTCCCAGAAACAGGGTCTCACTATGTTGCCCAAGCTGGTTTTCAACTGCCATCCTCAAGCAATCTTCCTACCTCGGCCTCCCAGAGCACAGGCCTCTCAGATTATAGGCATGAGCCACTGCAGTCAACCTCTAAATTTTTAATATACATATTTAAATATAGTTTTTCGGGGGGAGGAGCCAAGATGGCCGAATAGGAACAGCTCCGGTCTACAGCTCCCAGCGTGAGCGACGCAGAAGACGGGTGATTTCTGCATTTCCATCTGAGGTACCGGGTTCATCTCACTAGGGAGTGCCAGACAGTGGGCGCAGGCCAGTGTGTGCGCGCACCGTGCGCGAGCCGAAGCAGGTCGAGGCATTGCCTCACCTGGGAAGCGCAAGGGGTCAGGGAGTTCCCTTTCCCAGTCAAAGAAAGGGGTGACGGACGCACCTGGAAAATCGGGTCACTCCCACCCGAATATTGCGCTTTTCAGACCGGCTTAAGAAACGGCGCACCACGAGACTATATCCCACACCTGGCTCAGAGGGTCCTACGCCCACGGAATCTCGCTGATTGCTAGCACAGCAGTCTGAGATCAAACTGCAAGGCGGCAACGAGGCTGGGGGAGGGGCGCCCGCCATTGCCCAGGCTTGCTTAGGTAAACAAAGCAGCCGGGAAGCTCGAACTGGGTGGAGCCCACCACAACTCAAGGAGGCCTGCCTGCCTCTGTAGGCTCCACCTCTGGGGGCAGGGCACAGACAAACAAAAAGACAGCAGTAACCTCTGCAGACTTACGTGTCCCTGTCTGACAGCTTTGAAGAGAGCAGTGGTTCTCCCAGCACTCAGCTGGAGATCTGAGAACGGGCAGACTGCCTCCTCAAGTGGGTCCCTGACCCCTGACCCCCGGGCAGCCTAACTGGGAGGCACCCCCCAGCAGGGGCACACTGACACCTCACACGGCAGGGTATTCCAACAGACCTGCAGCTGAGGGTCCTGTCTGTTAGAAGGAAAACTAACAACCAGAAAGGACATCTACACCGAAAACCCATCTGTACATCACCATCATCAAAGACCAAAAGTAGATAAAACCACAAAGATGGGGAAAAAACAGAACAGAAAAACTGGAAACTCTAAAACGCAGAGCGCCTCTCCTCCTCCAAAGGAACGCAGTTCCTCACCAGCAACGGAACAAAGCTGGATGGAGAATGATTTTGACGAGCTGAGAGAAGAAGGCTTCAGACGATCAAGTTACTCTGAGCTACGGGAGGACATTCAAACCAAAGGCAAAGAAGTTGAAAACTTTGAAAAAAATTTAGAAGAATGTATAACTAGAATAACCAATACAGAGAAGTACTTAAAGGAGCTGATGGAGCTGAAAACCAAGGCTCGAGAACTACGTGAAGAATGCAGAAGCCTCAGGAGCCGATGCGATCAACTGGAAGAAAGGGTATCAGCAATGGAAGATGAAATGAATGAAATGAAGCGAGAAGGGAAGTTTAGAGAAAAAAGAATAAAAAGAAATGAGCAAAGCCTCCAAGAAATATGGGACTATGTGAAAAGACCAAATCTACGTCTGATTGGTGTACCTGAAAGTGATGTGGAGAATGGAACCAAGTTGGAAAACACTCTGCAGGATATTATCCAGGAGAACTTCCCCAATCTAGCAAGGCAGGCCAACGTTCAGATTCAGGAAATACAGAGAACGCCACAAAGATACTCCTTGAGAAGAGCAACTCCAAGACACATAATTGTCAGATTCACCAAAGTTGAAATGAAGGAAAAAATGTTAAGGGCAGCCAGAGAGAAAGGTCGGGTTACCCTCAAAGGAAAGCCCATCAGACTAACAGCGGATCTCTCGGCAGAAACCCTACAAGCCAGAAGAGAGTGGGGGCCAATATTCAACATTCTTAAAGAAAAGAATTTTCAACCCAGAATTTCATATCCAGCCAAACTAAGCTTCATAAGTGAAGGAGAAATAAAATACTTTACAGACAAGCAAATGCTGAGAGATTTTGTCACCACCAGGCCTGCCCTAAAAGAGCTCCTGAAGGAAGCGCTAAACATGGAAAGGAACAACCGGTACCAGCTGCTGCAAAATCATGCCAAAATGTAAAGACCATCGAGACTAGGAAGAAACTGCATCAACTAATGAGCAAAATCACCAGCTAACATCATAATGACAGGATCAAATTCACACATAACAATATTAACTTTAAATATAAATGGACTAAATTCTGCAATTAAAAGACACAGACTGGCAAGTTGGATAAAGAGTCAAGACCCATCAGTGTGCTGTATTCAGGAAACCCATCTCACGTGCAGAGACACACATAGGCTCAAAATAAAAGGATGGAGGAAGATCTACCAAGCCAATGGAAAACAAAAAAAGGCAGGGGTTGCAATCCTAGTCTCTGATAAAACAGACTTTAAACCAACAAAGATCAAAAGAGACAAAGAAGGCCATTACATAATGGTAAAGGGATCAATTCAACAAGAGGAGCTAACTATCCTAAATATTTATGCACCCAATACAGGAGCACCCAGATTCATAAAGCAAGTCCTCAGTGACCTACAAAGAGACTTAGACTCCCACACATTAATAATGGGAGACTTTAACACCCCACTGTCAACATTAGACAGATCAACGAGACAGAAAGTCAACAAGGATACCCAGGAATTGAACTCAGCTCTGCACCAAGCAGACCTAATAGACATCTACAGAACTCCCCACCCCAAATCAACAGAATATACATTTTTTTCAGCACCACACCACACCTATTCCAAAATTGACCACATAGTTGGAAGTAAAGCTCTCCTCAGCAAATGTAAAAGAACAGAAATTATAACAAACTATCTCTCAGACCACAGTGCAATCAAACTAGAACTCAGGATTAAGAATCTCACTCAAAGCCGCTCAACTACATGGAAACTGAACAACCTGCTCCTGAACGACTACTGGGTACATAACGAAATGAAGGCAGAAATAAAGATGTTCTTTGAAACCAACGAGAACAAAGACACCACATACCAGAATCTCTGGGACGCATTCAAAGCAGTGTGTAGAGGGAAATTTATAGCACTAAACGCCTACAAGAGAAAGCAGGAAAGATCCAAAATTGACACCCTAACATCACAATTAAAAGAACTAGAAAAGCAAGAGCAAACACATTCAAAAGCTGGCAGAAGGCAAGAAATAACTAAAATCAGAGCAGAACTGAAGGAAATAGAGACACAAAAAACCCTTCAAAAAATCAATGAATCCAGGAGCTGGTTTTTTGAAAGGATCAACAAAATTGATAGACCGCTAGCAAGACTAATAAAGAAAAAAAGAGAGAAGAATCAAATAGACACAATAAAAAATGATAAAGGGGATATCACCACCGATCCCACAGAAATACAAACTACCATCAGAGAATACTACAAACACCTCTACGCAAATAAACTAGAAAATCTAGAAGAAATGGATACATTCCTCGACACATACACTCTCCCAAGACTAAACCAGGAGGAAGTTGAATCTCTGAATAGACCAATAACAGGCTCTGAAATTGTGGCAATAATCAATAGTTTACCAACCAAAAAGAGTCCGGGACCAGATGGATTCACAGCCGAATTCTACCAGAGGTACAAGGAGGAACTGGTACCATTCCTTCTGAAACTATTCCAATCAATAGAAAAAGAGGGAATCCTCCCTAACTCATTTTATGAGGCCAGCATCATTCTGATACCAAAGCCGGGCAGAGACACAACCAAAAAAGAGAATTTTAGACCAATATCCTTGATGAACATTGATGCAAAAATCCTCAATAAAATACTGGCAAACCGAATCCAGCAGCACATCAAAAAGCTTATCCACCATGATCAAGTGGGCTTCATCCCTGGGATGCAAGGCTGGTTCAATATATGCAAATCAATAAATGTAATCCAGCATATAAACAGAGCCAAAGACAAAAACCACATGATTATCTCAATAGATGCAGAAAAAGCCTTTGACAAAATTCAACAACCCTTCATGCTAAAAACTCTCAATAAATTAGGTATTGATGGGATGTATTTCAGAATAATAAGAGCTATCTATGACAAACCCACAGCCAATATCATACTGAATGGGCAAAAACTGGAAGCATTCCCTTTGAAAACTGGCACAAGACAGGGATGCCCTCTCTCACCGCTCCTATTCAACATAGTGTTGGAAGTTCTGGCCAGGGCAATCAGGCAGGAGAAGGAAATAAAGGGTATTCAATTAGGAAAAGAGGAAGTCAAATTGTCCCTGTTTGCAGACGACATGATTGTTTATCTAGAAAACCCCATCGTCTCAGCCCAAAATCTCCTTAAGCTGATAAGCAACTTCAGCAAAGTCTCAGGATACAAAATCAATGTACAAAAATCACAAGCATTCTTATACACCAGCAACAGACAAACAGAGAGCCAAATCATGAGTGAACTCCCATTCACAATTGCTTCAAAGAGAATAAAATACCTAGGAATCCAACTTACAAGGGATGTGAAGGACCTCTTCAAGGAGAACTACAAACCACTGCTCAAGGAAATAAAAGAGGACACAAACAAATGGAAGAACATTCCATGCTCATGGGTAGGAAGAATCAATATTGTGAAAATGGCCATACTGCCCAAGGTAATTTACAGATTCAATGCCATCCCCATCAAGCTACCAATGACTTTCTTCACAGAATTGGAAAAAACTACTTTAAAGTTCATATGGAACCAAAAAAGAGCCCGCATCGCCAAGTCAATCCTAAGCCAAAAGAACAAAGCTGGAGGCATCACACTACCTGACTTCAAACTATACTACAAGGCTACAGTAACCAAAACAGCATGGTACTGGTACCAAAACAGAGATATAGATCAATGGAACAGAACAGAGCCCTCAGAAATAATGCCGCATATCTACAACTATCTGATCTTTGACAAACCTGAGAAAAACAAGCAATGGGGAAAGGATTCCCTATTTAATAAATGGTGCTGGGAAAACTGGCTAGCCATATGTAGAAAGCTGAAACTGGATCCCTTCCTTACACCTTATACAAAAATCAATTCAAGATGGATTAAAGATTTAAACGTTAGACCTAAAACCATAAAAACCCTAGAAGAAAACCTAGGCATTACCGTTCAGGACATAGGCATGGGCAAGGACTTCATGTCCAAAACACCAAAAGCAATGGCAACAAAAGCCAAAATTGACAAATGGGATCTAATTAAACTAAAGAGCTTCTGCACAGCAAAAGAAACTACCATCAGAGTGAACAGGCAACCTACAACATGGGAGAAAATTTTCGCAGCCTACTCATCTGACAAAGGGCTAATATCCAGAATCTACAATGAACTCAAACAAATTTACAAGAAAAAAACAAACAACCCCATCAAAAAGTGGGCGAAGGACATGAACAGACACTTCTCAAAAGAAGACATTTATGCAGCCAAAAAACACATGAAGAAATGCTCATCATCACTGGCCATCAGAGAAATGCAAATCAAAACCACTATGAGATATCATCTCACACCAGTTAGAATGGCAATCATTAAAAAGTCAGGAAACAACAGGTGCTGGAGAGGATGTGGAGAAATAGGAACACTTTTACACTGTTGGTGGGACTGTAAACTAGTTCAACCATTGTGGAAGTCAGGGTGGCGATTCCTCAGGGATCTAGAACTAGAAATACCATTTGACCCAGCCATCCCATTACTGGGTATATACCCAAAGGACTATAAATCATGCTGCTATAAAGACACATGCACACGTATGTTTATTGCGGCACTATTCACAATAGCAAAGACTTGGAACCAACCCAAATGTCCAACAATGATAGACTGGATTAAGAAAATGTGGCACATATACACCATGGAATACTATGCAGCCATAAAAAATGATGAGTTCATGTCCTTTGTAGGGACATGGATGAAATTGGAAACCATCATTCTCAGTAAACTATCACAAGAACAAAAAACCAAACACCGCATATTCTCACTCATAGGTGGGAATTGAACAATGAGATCACATGGACACAGGAAGGGGAATATCACACTCTGGGGACTGTGGTGGGGTCGGGGGAGGGGAGAGGGATAGCATTGGGAGATATACCTAATGCTAGATGACACGTTAGTGGGTGCAGCGCACCAGCATGGCACATGTATACATATGTAACTAACCTGCACAATGTGCACATGTACCCTAAAACTTAGAGTATAATAAAAAAATAAATAAATAAATATAGTTTTTCATCAAAGACTACAGTTAACCAATGTTTGTATCTAATCTGCCAAAAAGGCAAGAGTCTCAGCATATTTTTATTTTCACCTTTCCTCCACCATGTCCTGTGTTGAAATTATTTGGAATTCTAGATCTTTGCTATTATCAGTCTCTCTCTCTCTTTTTAACACATCAATCCCCTTAGATTCTTTTTGTTTTGGAATTCTTTCAGAAACAATCTATATACAGAAAATATGGTCTCAGCCAGGTGCAGTGGCTCTTGCCTGTAATCACAGCACTTTGGGAGACTGAGGTGGGAGGATAATTAAAGCCCAGGAGTTTGAGACTAGCTGGGCAAGATGGTGAGACACCCCTTCCTCATCTTTACAAAACTAAATAAATAAACTGGACATGTTGGTGGCACTGCCTCTAGTCCCAGCTACTCGGGAGGCTAAGGTGGGAGGAAGTTTGAGGCTACCATGAGCTACAATCACACCAGTGCATGCCAGCCTGGGTGACAGAGTAAGACCCTGTTTCTATTAAAAAAAAAAGAAGAAGAAGAAGAAGAAGATGATGATGATGATGAGTAGAAGAAAGAAAAAAAGAAAATTTGGTCCCTGCTTACCTGAAAATATGTTTGTTTTACCCTCAGACTTGAATACAGTTTGGTGCAGTATAAAAAGAATTTTAATGGAGTTTGTATTGAAGTATAACATATATGCAAAATACATAAATCATAAATAAGCACCTCAGTGACTTATCACACCTATATGACTACCACCCTGGTAAAGCAATAGAACATTTTTATCATCCCCCAAACACCCCTTCCAATCACTACCCTCACCCTCCTACTTACTACCTGAACTAGTCTCATAGATTAGTTTTACCTGCTTTTGAACTTTATGTAAATAGAATATTTCAATATGTACTTTGGAGATCTTTTTTCTTCTCTGTGGAAGCTTTTAATGTAGTTAGTGTCATACAGATCTTCTTCTCCTTATTGATTTTTAGTCCACTTGTATTATCATTTACTGAGAAAAATGTTAAGGTCTCAGGCAATGAATGTAGAGTTCCACCTTTATTTCTCACAGTTTTTGTTTTGCATATCTTAAAGCTCTGTTATTAGGTGCTGTTAATTATTTGTTATATCTTTTTGCTGTATTGACATTTTTATTAAAGTGTTCCTCTTTGTCTCTAGTAATTCTCTTTGATTTGAAGTAACTTTGTATAATTTTAATGTACTCATTACAGCTTTCTTATGCTTACTCTTAGCATGATATATCTTTTTTAACCCTTTTATTTTTCCATGTGTCTTTATATTCAAAGTACATCTCTTGAAACAGCATATACTTGGTTTTTACTTCTCTATCCATTCTGATAATCTCTGCTTTTATTTGGAATGTTTAATCCATTTACATTTAATATAATCTTTCATATGTTTGTATTAAATCTTTATACAAACTCCATCAAACTCCATCAATGCAATATTATAATTTTTGCTTTAAAGAGTCATAAACATTTTCAAGAAATTAAGAGAAGAAAAAATTTAAAATGTCTTGTGTGCTTACTTATATATTTGACTATTTCTGATGGTCTTCATTCTTTCTTATATATCTAAGTTGTCATCTGTTACCTTTCCCCTCTCTAAAGAACTTTGCTTAGCTTTTTTTGTTTGTTTGTTTGTTTGTTTGTTTGTTTAAGAGACAGGGTTTCACTCTGTTGCCCAGGATGGAGTCAAGTGTCCATTCACCCGCATGATCATAGCACACTGCAGCCTAAACACCTGGTCTCAAGTGTTCCTCCTGCCTCAGCCTCCTGAGTAGCTGGGACTAGAGGTGCATGCCATTTTGCCTGGTTCATTTAACATCTTTTTAAAAGTATAAGCCTCTACTGAATAATTATCTCAGTTTTTATTTATCTGGAAACATTTTTTTAGCCTTTATTTTTGAAGAAAGTTTCACTGGTTACAGAATTCTTGCCCGATTATTTTCTATTTATTCATTAGTTTGAATACATCATTCCAGACTTTCTAATGAGAAGTCATTCTGTATTCTTATGATTTTCTTCTTTATAATATGTCATTTTTCTGTTTATATTTCAATATTTTTTCTTTGCTTTTGTCTTTCATCAGTTTGACTGTGATTTGTCTTTCTCTTTGTGTTTATCCTTTCTTAGCATTTGTTAAACTTTTTGAATCTATAAGCTGATATTTTCCACCAAATTGAGAAGTTTTTCAGCCCTTGTTCCTTAAGAATTTTCACCTTTGCTCACTTCTGTTCCCCTGAGATTTGAATTATCTGTGTTTAGTAATTTGAGATTTTCCTACAGATCTTTAGGCTGTTCATTTTTCTTCAATTTTTAAAATCTTTTTAAAATTATGTAATCTCTATTAAATCTACCTTCCAGTTTACAGATTTTTCACCATCTCCAATCTGTCATTGAGTCCACCTAGTAAATTTATTTTAGTTATTGTACTTCTTACCTATAGAAGAATATATAATTGCTATAAGGTATATAATTATAATATTACATATATAGTTTCTAGTTCTCTGTTCAGATTACCTATCTGTTCACTTATTGATGTGATAGTTTCCTTTAATATTTTGAATGTATTTTAAAATAGCTGCTTTAAAGTTTTTGTCTGCTAATCCAGTACCTGGGTCTACTTGGAATCAGTTGCTTCTGACTCTGCCTTTTTTTTGAGTCATATTTTCCTATTTCTTTGCATGTTTGATAATTTTTTGTTGTTGAAAACTCAGTATTATATAGAATATACTATAGCAACTCTGTTCTCTGAGGATTGTTGGCATGGACTCAAACTGCAAATTTTGCCTCCCCATAGTATGCATCATCTGTTATTCTCATGACTTCCCACTGCTGCTTTTTTAGCCTGGCCTTGGGTTCTTCTGTGTGCTTGCATTATGTAGCAGTCAACCAAGGGTTTATGCAGAGATGAAGCTCATCCTTTCCATGATTTCCTTTCTTTTAGTGACTTCTCCCTATTTTCCAAATATTCTGTTAACCTCAAGCTCTGACACTTGAAGCCTGTGAGGTTCAGCTTCCTGCCATCCAAGCTGAGCTCAGTTGGGGAATGTATTTACTTAAAAAGGCAAGCAAACAAAAAAGCAACAAACAAAAAACCTCTCAGATTGACCCCATGTAGCTGTCTTTAGCAGTAGAATCCTTAAAAAAAATCAATTAAAAAAAAAACACAGTAGAATCCTCCCTGGTCTCTGCCTGCTTGTTCTTCCTCTTGGTATTCCCCCCATACATATATAATTTAGCTACCCAGCAGAGACTTGGGCAGTGTTTATAACCAGAATTTACATCTTATTCTTGTGGTTCTCTTGCCACTAGGATATTCCCCCTTTAAATTCCAGCTGATTTTCTAGCCCTCAACTCTGATCTCTAGCATTGTTAGCTAGGGATACATGTATAATTTAGCTACCCAACAGAGATTTGTGCAGTGTTTATAACCAGAATTTACATCTTATTCTTGTGGTTCTCTTGCCACTAGGATATTCCCCCTTTAAATTCCAGCTGATTTTCTAGCCCTCAACTCTGATCTCTAGCATTGTTAGCTGGTAACGCTATGGTTTTTCTGCCACCTTTTTCTACAGCCACCATAGCTGTGGGAGTTGGAGGCTCCCACATGTGAGAAAGCCACATGCTAACAATTCTCAACCCTTTCCAGTTGCACTCTTAGAAGAGCAAACTCTTCCTGATTTCTATCTACTTTTAGAGGTTTTTGGTGTCATTAAGATTTTGTTATTGTTGTTAATTCATCCAGTTTTTCTAATTGTTATTTGTGAGAAAATGTGTGTGAACCAGTTCAGTGCTCCAGCCTTACAAGATGTACTCTCTGCTTATACTTTTGAGCCCAGTTTTTCTCTACAGCTCTTATCTGGCTGATTTCTATTTATCCATAATGTTTCTGACCTATGTGATGATACTCTTTCCTGCTTTCCTGTATTGTTAAGGGCAAAATTATGTACATCTATAGCTACATCTATATCTATAAATATCTTCATTTCATGGGATTTTAGGTGGGAGAGAGGGAGCACATGGGCTTGGTACCTCATCATGATCCAATCAATTGGGTTCTTTCTGGAACTTAACCTCTCAGACCCTAAACTAAGAACAATCTACCACTTGAATGGTTCAGTTTTGAACTAGGCTTGACTGCCAAGGAAGTGGATAGGCCATCAAGTGTAGAGAGTTTGGAAGAAAGTTCTTCTTTTTTGAGATGGAGTTTTGTTCTTGTTGCCCAGGCTGGAGTGTAATGGCATGATCTCAGCTCACTGCAACCTCCGCCTCCTGGGTTCAAGTGATTCTCCTTCCTCAGCCTCCCAAGTAGCTGGGACTACAGGCGCACACCACCACACCCAACTAATTTTTGTATTTTTAGTAGATACAGCGTTTTGCCATGTTGGCCAGGCTGGTCTCAAACTCCTGACCTCAGGTGATCCACTCACCTTGGCCTCCCAAAGCACTGGGATTACAGGCATGAGCCACTGCTCCTGACCTGGAAAGTTCTTCGGGGGCATTGATTTCATGATATTTGATTTTCATGAGTGGTCCATGAGTACACCTCTTTAAGAGCTTACTTCCCTCAGAGGAGGAGCTCATTCACCAAAGGCATTATCTAATATAAATATCTCTAATTTTAAATAAATATTAACATTCTAGTGTTGACTTGATTTACATTAATCAAGACTGTCTGGCAAGAAGCCCCATCACATCTGTTGTCTCATTCCAGCACTTACTCTTTCTAACTAAGTAGTCCATCATTATAACTGTAACACTAAGCCCCAAGCATTAAATGTGTGGAAGGGATCCACTTATTTTTTGTTTTAATTCTAAAGTGAGTAGGTCTTAAGAGAAAAGGACTCTTTTTTGAAATGTGTTCATGAAAAAATGTAGACATTGCTTGAGATGTACTGAAATCTAAAAATTAGCTTTAATCTCCACAGAGACAAGCTAGAAATTTATACTTATGAACCAAATGGTCTTTATTGTACCCCAATATTACTTCTTCTTATTATTTGAATTGGAATAATCTGTAATCTTTTGACACATTGGTAATTTACATTGTATTTAGAGGTTGCCTTTTTTTTTTTTTTTGAGCTTGACAGACAAAAGAAGGGTTTTGGGTTATCTGCAAACTTGAATTCTGGCACCATTGTCTTTTCCTTTTTGAAAATTTTAATAAGATTGTCTGCTTGGCTGGGCACAGTGGCTCACACCTGTAATCCCAGCACTTTGGGAGGCCGATGTGGGTGGATCACCTGAGGTCAGGAGTTTGAGACTAGCCTGGCCAACATGGTGAAACCCCGTCTCTACTAAAAATACAAAAAATTAGCCAGACATGGTGGCACATGCCTGTAATCCCAGCTACTCGGGAGGCTGAGGCAGGAGAATGGCTTGAACACAGGAGGTGGAGTAAGCCAAGATCGGACCATTGCACTCCAGCCCAGGCAACAGAGTGAGACTCCATCTCAAAAATAAATAAATAAATGAATAAATAAATAAATATTGTCTACTTCACAGGAAAGGGTTTGTTTATTCTCTCTTAATACAAGCAATCCAAGGCTGTATTTATCTCAAGAAATGTTATAGGTGTCGACTTATCTTCAAACTCAGGTAATATACATTAAATATGTTCAGCTTTTTGTTTGTCAATCATACCTCAATAAAGTGGTTTTTATTTTATTTCATTTTATTTTTAGAGGCAAATTCTCTTGTCTCACTCTGTCATCCAGGCTGGAGTGCAGTGGCACGATCATAGCTCAATGCAGTCTCCAACCCCTAGGCTCAAGAGATCTTCCTTCCTCAGCCTCCTAAGAAGCCAGGACCACAGGCATGCATCACTACACCCAGCTAATTTTTATATATTTTTATTTTTTGGGGAGGCAGGGTCTCACTATGTTGCCCAGGCTGGTCTTGAACTCCTGGCCTCAAGTCATGGGATCCTCCTTTCTTGGCCTCCCAAAGTGCTGGGATTACAGGTGTCAGCCACCATATCAGGCCTCAATAAAGTAGTTTTATAGAAAAGACAAATGTTACTATCCTCCAGTCTACCAAGACTTTGTGAGAATTTTAAATTGGCTTATTCTTTTTGAGCAACTTTGTCCCAACCCTTCCTAAAGAGAAAGGACTACAAAAGATGGTCCACAGATGATTAGAGGGCATTAAATACCGTTTACACAAGATGTTTCAAATGGTCTGTAAGACAATCATCAAGGCTTCAGATAATAAAAGGCATCCTTCCCTATATTCTTTTTTTTTTTTTTTGAGATGGAGCCTAGCTCTGTCACCCAGGCTGGAGTGCAGTGGCCCCATCTTGGCTCATTGCAACCTTTGCCTTCCAGGTTCAAGCGATTCTCCTGCCTCAGCCTCCTGAGTAGCTGGGATTACAGGCATGCACCACCATACCCGGCTAATTTTTGTATTTTTAGTAGAAACGGGGTTTCACCATGTTGGTCAGGCTGGTCTCAAACTCCTGACCTCGTGATCCACCCCCCTGGCCTCCCAAAGTGCTGGGATTACAGGTTTGAGCCACCGCGCCCAGCCTTTTCCTATATTTTTGTGAAACACATTTTGGTGTCAAATATGCATCTGGGAAACTGCATCTTTTATGGTTGCATCTCTTGATGGCTTCCTTGCAGTGGCACTGCTGAGCTATTTGCAACCTGTGCCAAGAAGGATATCAGGGTGTGGCACACATCATCCAACAGGGAGCTGCTGCGGATCACCGTGCCCAACATGACCTGCCACGGCATCGACTTCATGAGGGACGGCAAAAGCATCATTTCAGGTAACGTCCACATGTCAAGATCTGGCTTGGGGCTCTAGCTGCGGTTTTGATTCTTGTCACTCTCCTCCCATACTAGTCTCTACATGTGGATAACCTAGAACAGCCTCCCACTGTCCACCCCCTTCTTGCTTCTAATCTAGCCTCTCTTTGGAGTTTCCTTCCAGCTGGGAGACTTTCTGAGCTAGGAAGGACCAAATAGCAATTTCTCCTCTCCCACATTGCTGCATATAGCGTGAATCTTTCTCTCTAGTAGGAAAATTTAGAAGTTCAATTTTGAAAAGGAGTTTGAAAAGGACAGGTCCCCCATGTGAGGACCCTTTTTGTTGTGTAAGAGATAAAACCCTGACTCAAACGAAGTGATGTCTCAAAGGGAATTTATTTTTAACTCAATTTATTATTTTATGCCATTTAGCATAAATTATAGGCAGCGTGATATTCCACCTCTAAAGACTTCAGCATGTATCTCTAAAAATGTTTTCCTTTAAAACAGTAATTTCTCAGTATTGTCTTATGCTAAATCTATCTGTAAGTCTCCCCAGTGCTCAGAAAGTACACATACTGCTTCACATCAATGAAAAGTTCAGTGGATCTTTAGGGACAGCTATTAAAATGGTGACACCAGGAAACCATCTCGCCCCTCTTTTCTTTCTTTCCCTTTCTTTCTTTCTTTCTTTCTTTTCTTTTCTTTCTTTCTTTCTTCTTTCTTTTTTCTTCCTTGCTTGCTTGCTTTTTTTTTTTTTTTCTCAGATGGAGTTTCACTCTTGTTGCCCAAGCTGGAGTGCAATGGCGCGATCTAGGCTCACTGCAACCTCTGCCTCCCGTGTTCAAGCAATTCTCCTGTCTCAGCCTCCAGAGTAGCTGGGATTACAGGCACGCTCCTGCCTCAGCCTCCCAAGTATCTGGGACTACAGGCGTGTGTCATCACGATGGGCTAATTTTTTGTATTTTTAGTAAAAACGGGTTTTCACCATGTTGGCCAAGCTGGTCTTGAACTCCCGACCTCAGGCAATCCACCCGCCTCGGCCTCCCAAAGTGATGGGATTACAGGAGTGAGCCACTGCACCCGGTCCTCACTCCTCTTTTCTTGGCCCTGTCTTCTCCTCCTTGTTAGCGTCCCTACCCCACCCTGCGCATGTCTTCTCCACATAGGGCTGCCAGGAGCTCTGGGCTTACCTTACATCTAGAGCGAACACGGCTCAGGACAGAAATCTTGGAGTCCTCACTGCCTCCCCTTTTTCTCTTATGCCCACATCCACATCCCCTGCTGATGCTCATTTCAAAGTACATCCAAGGTCCCTCACCCCTCATTATCTTCCCCCTTATCCTAGCCACCAGCATCTCTCCCCTAGATTGCCCTCGTACCTTCCTACCACGTCTCCTTGCTTCTCTTCTCACCCAGTATACTTTCCCGCAGTCTGTTTTCGACACAGAAGCCAGAAGCCAGAAGCCAGAGGTCTGTTTTAAAATGTAAGTCAGGGCCAGGCGCGGTGGCTCACGCCTGTAATCCCAGCACTTTGGAGGCCGAGGCGTGAGCCACCGCACCTGGACCTGATTTACATAGCTGTGATTACAAGCATGCGCCACCATGCCCAGCTAATTTTTGTAATTTTTTTTTTTTTTTTTTTAAGAGACGGAGTCTTTTTCTGTCTCCCAGGCTGGAGTGCGGTGGCGCGATCTCGGCTCACTGCAAGCTCCGCCTCCCGGGTTCACGCCATTCTCCTGCCTCAGCCTCCCGAGTAGCTGGGACTACAGGCGCCCGCTACCACGCCCGGCTAATTTTTCTGTATGTTTAGTAGAGACGGGGTTTCACCGTGTTAGCCAGGATGGTCTGGATCTCCTGACCTCGTGATCCGCCCGCCTCGGTCTCCCAAAGTGCTGGGATTACAGGCGTGAGCCACTGCGCCCTGCCCGATTTTTGTAATTTTTTGAGTAGAGATGGGGTTTCGCCTGAGGTCAGGAGTTTGAGAACAGCCTGACCAATATGGTGAAACCCCATCTCTACTAAAAATACAAAAATTAGCCGGGCGTGGTGGCGGGAGCCTGTAGTCCCAGCTACCCGGGAGGCTGAGACAGGAGAGTTTCTTGAACCCGGGAGGTGGAGGTTGCAGTGAGCCAAGATCGCACCACTGCACTCCAGCCTGGGTAACAGAGCCAGACTCCATCTCAAAAAAAAGAAAGAAAGAAAGAAAGAAAGAAAGAAAGAAAGAAAGAGAGAGAGAGAGAGAGAGAGAGAGAAAGAAAGAAAGAAAGAAAGAAAGAAAGAGAAAGAAAGAAAGAGAAAGAAAGAACATAAGTCAGAATTTGCCATATTTAGGGCTCAAAAGTCTTTTACCCTCTAAGAGTAAATGACAAAGATCCCCCCATCACCTACAAGGCTCCATGTGAATTTCTGTCCTCCTTTACCTTCTTACCTGGAGCTCTTCCTCTTACTACTCACCCCTTCTAGCCATACTTTCTTCTTGCTGTTCCTCAAACACACTGGGCATAGATAGAGCCTTTGCTCTGACTCTTATGTCTGCCTGAAATATTCTTTCCCTAGATACCTCCATGGCTCACTCCCTCACCCCCTCACCTCCTCAAATCTTTGCTGAAATGGGATCTACCTTTAGCATTCTATTTTAAACTGCTAAGGTCAAGAGGTGACATTAAAGCTTATGAGAGGGTGCCAGCCATTTGAAGACCTGGGGAGAAAACATTCCAGGCAGAGGGAATAGCAAGTGCAAAGGCCCTCAGGAGGGAGATCGCTTGGTGGATTTGAGGAATAGCAAGAGGGCCAGTGTGTCTGGGGCTTAGTGGGTAGTTGGGCTAGGGGTGCAGGGACAGCCAGTAAAAGAAGTTAAAAGAGATGGCGGGGGTTGGGGGTCGGGCACAAATACTAGTTACCGTGGAGGATAAAGGAGTTTGGATTGGATTTTAATTCTAAGTGCAGTGGGAAAATGTTTTGGAAAGTTTTTTTTTTTTTTTGAGATGGAGTCGTGCTCTGTTGCCCAGGCTGGGAGTGCAGTGCTGTGATCTCGGTTCACTGCAACCTCCGCCTCCCGGGTTCAAGCGATTCTCCTGCCTCAGCCTCCTGAGTAGCTGGGATTACAGGCATGCTGCCACCATGCCCAGCTAATTTTTGTAATTTTTTTTAGTAGAGGTGGGGTCTTGCCATGTTGACCAGGCTGGTCTCCACCTCCTGTCCTCAAGTGATCCGCCTGCCTTGGCCTCCCAAAGCGCTGGGATTACAGGTATGAGCCACTGCGCCCAGCCTCCACTTTTTTTTTTCTTTTTTTGAGACAGGGTCTTGCTCTGTTGCCCAGGCTGAAGTGCAGTGGCGGACTCTTGGCTCACTGCAACCTCCATCTCCCAGGTTTAAGTGATCCTCCTACTTCAGCCTCCCGAGTAGCTAGGACTAAATGGGCATGCCACCATGCGAGGCAAGTTTTTTTTTGTTTTTTTTTTTCATATTTTTTGTAGAGACTGGGTCTTGCCATGTTTCCAGGCTGGTCTTGTGCTCCTAGACTCAAGCAATCCACCCACCTTGGCCTCCCAAAGTGCAAAGTGTTGAGATTATAGATATAAGCCTTTTTTTTTAAATAAAAAAGGAAGTTCTTGATCAAGAAGATGACATAATTTTTAAAAGGCCACACTGATCCCTGCATAAATAAGTGGTTGTAAGCAAGAGTGGAAGCAAGCATAAGCTGTTATCACAATCCAGGAGAAAGATGGTGGTGCCTTGGATGAAGGAGGTACCAGTGGAACTGTTGAGAGGTGCTCAGATTTGAATGTTTTTTAACAGTAAAGCTGGTGGAAATTGTTGATGGATTGGATGTTGGATTGGGTTGGGTAGATGGAATTGAGGGTAATCAAGGAAGACTCAGGCTGTTGGCTTAGGCAACTGGATGGGTGGTGGCAACCTGTAGAAGGGAAAGGGGCCTATGGTGACCAGCATTCAGCTGAGCTGGTCTCTTTCCTCCAGCACAGCACCACTCACCAGGCCTGCCTCTCCTTAGTGAGGCCAGCAGACTGTGGAGAGAGGGTGCATATACTGATCCTGCCTGCCTTTTGTTTCCCTTTCATGCCAGCATGGAACGACGGTAAAATCCGAGCCTTCGCCCCAGAGACAGGCCGACTGATGTATGTCATTAACAATGCTCACAGGATCGGCGTCACCGCCATCGCCACCACCAGTGACTGTAAAAGGGTCATCAGTGGCGGTGGGGAAGGGGAGGTATTGAAAGCAGAAATTTGAAAAAATAACGCTCTGTTTAGAACAACTGCCCTATAGGAAGCCATCTATTTGCTTTTAAAAATACACACCTTTGCTAGTATTCAAGCAGGACCAAATTGACATTTTGATGAGATCTGAAAATATGTCATAAATAAAAGTTCTAATATTATAAATGTATACTTATTTTGAAATGGAGTCTCACTCTGTCACCCAGTCTGGAGAGTGCAGTGGCTCAATCTTGGCTCGTTACAACCTCTGCCTTCTGGGTTCAAGCGATTCTCCTGCCTCAGCCTCCTGAGCAGCTGGGATTACAGGCGCACACCGTCATGCCCAGCTAATTTTTCTATTTTTAGTAGAGATGGGGTTTCACCATGTTGGCCAGGCTGGTCTCAAACTCCTGACCTCAGATGATCCACCTGCCTTGGCCTCCCAAAGTGCTGGGATTACAGGTATGAGCAACCATGCCTGGCCTATAAATATATATCTAAGTACATTTGTACACAGAAAGGACGTTTACAATACAGACATGAAAGTGTTCTATGTGGACTAGAGTTAAGGAATTCATGCGGGTGTTTTGCCAGTGTTTTGGCTTGCTTGCTCTTTTCCTCCGAGGATCGTGGTTGTACGAATTGTCATCTTATCTTTTTTTTTTTTTTTTAGACGGACAGAGTCTCCCTCTGTCACCCAGGCTGGACTGCAGTGGCACAATCTTGGCTCACTGCAAGCTCCGCCTCCTGGGTTCACGCCATTCGCCTGCCTCAGCCTCCTGAGTAGCTGGGACTACAGGTGCCTGCCACCACGCCCAGCTAATTTTTTTTTGTATTTTTTTAGTAGAGACGGGGTTTCACCGTGTTAGCCAGGATGGTCTCGATCTCCTGACCTCGTGATCCGCCTGCCTCGGCCTCCCAAAGTGCTGGGATTACAGGCGTGAGCCACCGCGCCTGGCCCATCTTATCTTTTAAAGCAGGTGATGGTTTTAGCATCAATTATTAAATACACCCAGACGTTTTGACCATTATTTTTAAATGATCATGCTCAACTTTTTCTTCCCATTATTTTGAGGAGGCTGTAACACCTTTTGCTCACACATTTTTCTCTGGTTCTCTCCTCCTCTGTGCCCCAGATTCTTTGCTATCCCAAAGCCTTCCCTTTCTCTTTGAGATATTTTCTTTTCCTTTCCTTAATCCCCTGTCATAGGAAGAACAGAATAGTTTGTGCTCATCTTATTTTTCATAAATCCAACATAGGCACTATAAGAAGGCGTAAGCATCTGACTACTATGTTTTCTGGTGTAGTTGTGACAGATCCTTTGTCCATTAAAGGAATACTGGCTGGGCCTGGTGGCTCACGCCTGTAATCTCAGCACTTTGGGAGGCTGAGGCAGGTGGATCACCTGAGCTCAGGAGTTTGAGACCAGCCTGGCCAACATGGCCAAACCCTGTCTCTACTAAAAATACAAAAATTAGGCCAGGCGTGGTGAGTTGGAGGTTGCAGTGAGCCGAGACCACGCCATTGCATTGCACTCCAGCCTGGGTGACAGAGCGACATTTTGTCTCAAAAAAAGAAAAAAAAATACAAAAATTAGCCAGGTGTGGTGGTGCACTCCTGTAGTCCCAGCTACTTGGGAGGCTGAGACAGGAGAATTGCTTGAATCCATGAGGCAGAGGTCGCAGTGAGCCGAGATCGCGCCATTGCACTCCAGCCTGGGAGACGGACCAAGACTCCATCTCAAAAAATGAAGGAATACCATACTAACTAAACAACTTCCCTTTTATCTATCCTTTTTATTAAAGCATCATATTAATGATTTTAAATTTTGTGTGTAGGTAGTTGTATTACCTATGAATTTCACTCCAGGATAATACACAGGTATTTGGAAATATTTGTGATATAAAATAGGTATTGGATTCAGTAGAGTTGGGAACCATTGCTTTTAAATGATCAAAATTGAACAGCTGATTGTGAAAGTTTAAATATAGCTCTGGGTACTCACGAACTTTCCTGACAGTACCAGAAATTTGAGAGCAGTGATCAGCAAAAGTGAATAGACATTATTTCACTTGGTTTTGCGTTGGCCCTTGCATTATCGATTTGCATAGCAGGTGTCTGATTAAATTTCTCAGCCTGTATGTACAAGCAGGTACAGGATTGTTAGTAGCATTTTTGAAGCTCTGTTGAAGATGATCACATCTTATACATGAATATGCCTGCCCTTCAACTTAGCATTCACACCCCACCCAACCGAGACAAAGACAGGGAATTAAAAAAACACAAATCAAGCATAGCAAAGGGGAAAAAGCTCTTGGAATCTTTTCCTATCCCTTCAGAAGTCCCAAGTGTGGATCAAGATCCTGTGCTCTGTGGCTTTCAGGTGAGGGTATGGCAGATAGGCTGTCAGACCCAGAAGCTGGAGGAGGCCCTGAAGGAACACAAGTCATCAGTGTCCTGCATTAGGGTGAAGAGGAACAACGAGGAGTGTGTCACCGCCAGCACCGATGGGACTTGTATCATTTGGGACCTTGTGTAGGTACCTGTGATGGGGAGGATGCAGTGATACCTGCAAAATCCAATCATGCCAACAGTTTATTGAACATGAGAGAAGATTCACATGGAGGGTAGAAATCTTATTTAAGGCAACACAGTAAAGGGATGTTCATCAGAAGCCGTTCATGACGGTCCATGGTTTATCGATGCTAGTGGGGAGGGTTACAATTTCCAGGAAGAACTGAATGTTAGAAGTTTCTGGGCAGATAGGGAAATAGCTTTCTGTGTCCACACAGTGAAGCATGGTTTAACTTACACGAATTCAACCCTAAGTGTCCCAAATGAAAGGGGGCAAGAAAAATAACGAATGCAAGGTCGGGCGTGGTGGCTTCTGCCTGTAATCCCAGCACTTTGGGAGGCTGAGGTGGGCAGATCACCTGAGGTCAGGAGTTCGAGACCAGCCTGGCCAACATGGTGAAACCCCTTCTCTACTAAAAATAAAAAAAGTTAGCTGGGCGTGGCGGCAGGTGCCTGTAATCCCAGCTACTTGGGAGGCTGAGGCAGGAGAGTCGCTTGAACCCAGGATGCGGAGGTTGCAGTGAACTGAGATCATGCCACTGCACTCTGGCCTGGGCAACAAGAGTGAAACTCTGTCTCAAAAAAAAGAAAGAAAGAAAGAAAGAAAGAAAGAAAGAAAGAAAGAAAGAAAGAAAGAAAGAAAGAAAGAAAGAAAGAGAAAGAAAAATAACTAATGCAGGCAGTGCCTCTTATCATTCCAGTTAGTCAGGTGAAGCCCAGAATGAACTTCCCATGGAGGGGAGGGATGCTGGTGGGACATACATTTGCCTTTCCCCTCGGTTGGCTGCATTCCCGGGGACCTCTTATGCTCCGAGCGTATCACACCCCCATAGAATGACTAACTTCAAACTAACTAGACCAAAGCCTGTGAACTTTATTGTAGGAGTAACTCAAAGGATTTTTGAACAGTGGCTTTTTGAATTTTTGACTATAAGCATTTTTGCTGTGTTTTTATTTTAGAATCGGATGCCATTCCTCCACCCCTCTCCCCACCCACCTATCACCCCTCTACCCCTCCTACGAGGCACTGCCTCTATATCACTGCATACGAGAGACGAGGATAAGTGCAAAGATGGGAGGAAGGAGGCACGCACGACAAAGAACATGAGATACGCTTGATGGGAATGAGAACTCAATGTGTACTTAATACATTAAAAAACACAAAGCACTGCTGGGCGCGGTGGCTCCCGCCTGTAACCCCAGCACTTTGGGAGGCCGAGGTGGGAGGATCAAGAGGTCAGGAGTTTGAGCCCAGCCTGACCAACATGGTGAAAGCCCGTCTCTACTAAAAATACAAAAAGTAGCTGGGCGTGGTGGCGCGTGCCTGTTATCCCAGCTACTCAGGAGGCTGAGGCAGGAGAATCGCTTGAACCCGGGAGGCGGAGGTTGCAGTGAGCTGAGATCGCACCACTGCACTCCAGCCTGGGCCACAGAGTGAGACTTCGTATCAAAAAAGCAAACAAACAAACAAAAAAGCAAAAAAAAACCCGACAAAGCAAGCTTTTGTCTTCTAGCCCTGTGTGTCTCCTGGGGATCTTGTTACAAATGTCGATTTTGATTCATTAAATTTAGCATGGTACCTGAGATTCTGCATTTCTAAGAAGCTGCCAACTGAGAGTGCTGGTTCAAGGACCACACTTGTAGGAAGTGTTAGGCTATACCTGACCTTCCTCCTGGGAAAATATAGAACTAGAAGGACATGTCTGAACTTATTTCTATGGATGCTTTGTGACTGCCTCAAATCCTTAAAGCTGTTCCGTTGTGTAGCAGGAATTCTTGTGCCAAAATCTTTAAAAATGCTCAGCTCAGATACCACGTTTGAAAACTTCCATAATGAGAAGAAACTGTGCAGAAGGTGCATTTTTTAGCCAGGAAAGCCTGGCCTGTGAGATGGCCACCCACCACATTGTCTGTGGAAGGAGAAGCGATATTTACATATTTCTTGGTACAGTATCTAAGGCAGGGGTTCTATTATGCACATAAAAATCAACTGAAATGCTGGTTTAAAATGCAGATCCTGGCCAGGCGTGCTGCAGTGGCATGATCTTGGCTCACTGCAGCCTCTGCCTCCCGGGTTCAAGTGCTTCTCTTGCCTCAACCTCCCAAATAGCTGGGATTACAGGCATGCGCCACCACGCCTGGCTAATTTCTGTATTTTTAGTAGAGACGGGGTTTCACCATGTTGGCCAGGCTGGTCTCAATCTCCTGACCTCAGGTGATCTGCCCACCTTGGCCTCCCACAAGTGCTGGGATTGTAGGCGTGAGCTGCTGCACTCGGCCCATAATACCCATTTTAAAAATACCCTTCCCAGGCCGGGCTCTCTTCAGTTGCGGGAGGCCAGCTCCCTCTTGGGGGCACCCTGGGCAGGGTAGGGGGTGGGTCTTGGGAGGGACTTCTTACCATATGCAGACAAGGGTTGAGCCTGCCAGCTTTTGGGACATCCCCACGTGACAGGCTCGTGCTTTCCGAGGGTTGTGCATGATATGGTACGTCCAAACCTGTGTACAAATGTGTACATGACATCTTGCTACAGCTTTTATTTGTGAATTAAAGATACATCGATGATTAAAACATAAACAAAATAAAATACCCTTCCCCACATTCTGCTTCTCAGACTGTAGGGAGCTCCACTTCCAAATGGTGGCCTCAGGACTCAAGTACATTGTGTGGGAGGCAGCAGGTTGGCTGTGAGTTCAGCCTCTTCTGCTTCTTCTTCCCTGGAACTTAAGGGTTCTCATTGAGTTTCGTGCTCTGTCTTTAGGAAAGGGCCCTTCCCATTGTCCTCTGGTGGTCACTGATAGGCCAACCGGAGTACACAGAAGTAGAGAGGACAGGGTGACCTGAAGTCTGTTTTGAAGAAATACAAGCACCACTTTGCTGAGCAGTATGAGATGTTTGGCATGGAGATAAACCAACCCAAATCCCAGCTTGCACCAAATCCAGCTTGAATAGTGAATAAATTTCCTAGGGAAGAGAAAGTCGACTTTCACAGCTTTTGAATCTACTTTCCAGGCGTCTCAGGAGGAATCAGATGATACTAGCCAACACCTTATTCCAGTGTGTGTGCTATCACCCTGAGGAGTTCCAGATCATCACCAGCGGAACAGACAGAAAGGTGAGTCCTCCCAGTGAGAGATGAGATCTTTCCAGCGCAAGAGAAAAGCAGTGAGGCGTTGTGGTGGAGGGTGCGGGCTCTGGAGTCAAACCACCTTGTTTCCAATGGTGGTCTGTCATCAATCAGCCATGCCACTTTGGAAAGGCCATATCACCTTCCAGTGTCTTCACTTCCCCACCTGTTAAGTGGAAATGGTACCACTGACCTCATAGAGTAAGGATTAAAGTCATGCTTGCTCATGGTGCTTATAGCAGGGGGTCTGGCACATAGTAGGTACTCAATAGATTGGTTTTTATTATTAGGGAATTTCTGAGACTGGAGTAGAATTGCTGTGCCCAAACCGGTTATCACTTTGACTAAATTCAGACAGAAAGGCAATAGAGCTCCTCATCTCTCAGCACTGTACTTCATCAATACATTAAAAATCTACACACGGAGCCAAGCGTGGTGGCTGATGCCTGTAATTCCAGCACTTTGTGAGGCTGAGGCGGGTGGATCACCTGAGGTCAGGAGTTCGAGACCAGCCTAGCCAACATGGTGAAACCCCATCTCTACAAAAAATACAAAAAATTAGTAGGGTGTGGTAGCGGGTGCCTGTAATCTCAGCTACTCAAGAGGCTGAGGCATGAGAATTGCTTGAACCTGGGAAGTGGAGGTTGCGGCGAGCCAAGATTGCACCACTGCACTCCAGTCTGGGTGACAGAGCAAGACTCTCTCTTAAAAAAAAAAAAAAATTCTACATATGGTACAGATTTCCCAGCTAAAGAGGAAGGTGAAGGTTCATCCTTCTGTTTGGGGGAATGTTCACCCTTGGAGCAAGCAAGGGGTCCCTGCTCTCATGAACCTTACTTCCCTAATTTATTTTGGGTAGGAGGGGATGGAATTGGCTAATACACACATGAACCAATCCATGAATGGACAATGAATAACAAGTGAACAAGAGATGAGATGGTGAAAGGACTGAGAAAGGAGATAGAACTGGTGACATGATACTGGCGGGCGGGGGAAAGCTCCTTCAGCTGGGGTGGTGGGTGAAGGCCTCCTTAAGGAGCAGCATCTGAGTGAGGCCTGAATGACAGAAGGACTCAGTCAATGCCTAGACCTCAAGGAAGGGCATCTCTGGCAGAGGACACTCCAGTAAGATGGAGCCCTACTGGGGCTGCCCAGGAGAGTGTCAATTTGGCTTCTTTGGCTGGGAAGGCAGGCAGTCAAGTTCCAACTACTTCTGTGGGTGTGAATCCTGAGAAACATGGGTTCTGGCATGGTTTTCTATCTCTTTAGGCGTTTACTATGAAATCAGAACTTTTTTGTTAACATGATCAAGCATCAACAGACATTACAAAGCAAAAGAAAAAAATTAACAAGAAATAGTATGCATAATGTCTAGCTAGATTCAGAGGAATACAGACTCCTGGCAGAGTGACTGGAACACAGCACGTTTCCGACATGAAACAATGAGAAACAAATGAAATGCACGTGCAGGTTTGCACTCCTGATTCCTGGTCAAGCACTCTTTTTTTTTTTTTTTTTTTCAACTTTAAGTTCAGGGGTACATGTGCAGGATGTGCAGGTTTGTTCCATAGGTAAACATGTGCCGTGGTGGTTTGCTGTACGGATCATCCCATCACCTCGGTATTAAGCCCTGCATGCATTAGCTATTCTTCCTGATGCTCTTCCTCCCCCCACCCACCACCCCCCGACAGGTGCCCCAGAGTGTGTTGTTTCCCCACGTGTCCATCTCTTTTCATCCTTCAGCTTCCACTTGTAAGTGAGAACATGTGGTGTTTGGTTTTCTGTTCCTGCGTTAGTTTGCTGAGGATAATGGCTCCCAACTCCATCCATGTCCCGGCAAAGGACATGATCTTGTTCCTTTTCATGGCTGCATAGTATTCCGTGGTATATATCTGCCACATTTTCTTAAGTTTATTCTGTTTTTTTTGGAGACAGAGTCTCACTTTGTCACCCAGGCTGGAGTGCAGTGGCATAATCTCAGCTCACTGCAACCTCCTACAACTTTCACCTCCTGGGTACAAGTGATTCTCATGCCTCACCCTCCCAAGTAGCTGGCACTACAGGTGTGTGCCACCACATCCAGCTAATTTTTGTATTTTTAGTACAGACAGGGTTTCACCATATTGCCCAGGCTGGTCTCGCATTCCTGACCTCAAGCAACGGGCCCAACTCGGCTTCCCAAAGTGCTGGGATTATAGGTGTGAGCCGCTGCACCCAGCTGGCCGTATCGCATTTTCTTTATGCAGTCTATCATTGATGGGCATTTAGGTTGATTCCCTGTCTTTGCTATCATAAACAGAAGCATTCTTTCCTAAGAAGGAAATTTAAATCTTGAATAGATTGTGCATTCACAAAGTTTAAGGTACAAAGGCAGTATATTCAGGAAAAAAATCACCCTCCTTTAGGCACCTGTCTCTCCATCCCTAAGGTAGTTCTGCTCCCCAACAGGGAACCAAGGTTACCAGTTCCTCTTTAAACTCTACCCTGTGGAATATTTCAGTGCTTTGGAGCAGAAGGGAAAGTTGGGAATAAGGGTGGTGTGAGGAAGAGGGAGGGCGCAGTCCCAGTGGGAGGGTGCCTGTACAGCCCAGTCTCTAGAACTCTGGGGAGTGGGGAGTGCTCATCCCCCAGTGAGAAGGAAGAAAATGCTTTTCCTCCCTCCAGGCCTGAAGCTTAGCTGTGGATGCAGAGGCTGTTCTTTCTTTTACAGCTTGCTTCAGGCTGAATCTTCTTAGTCTTATCAAAAGCCCTTTCTGTCTTAATCCAGGTTTATCAGCACATCAACATGTCTTTAAATAGAATGCAAATTTAAAACCAATACTAAAAATATTAAAATGGTTTTGCCACCCCCTGCTGTAGCCTATTTATAATTTCAGCCAGTATCATCCCGTGGTGTATTTTTGCTCCCTTCTATATAAAGTAGAGCCATCTTTTGTTAGCATGTGCATGGATGACTCTCCTGAGCTGAGTCCTGCTTAATGCTTCTTTCCTGAATTCCAGATTGCTTACTGGGAAGTATTTGATGGGACAGTAATCAGAGAATTGGAAGGTTCCCTGTCTGGGTCGATAAATGGCATGGATATCACACAGGAAGGGGTGCACTTTGTCACAGGTTAGTCCTGGGATAGGAAAAAGCCAAGCCTGGCTTATTTAGACGAGGACATGGAAGGAACTCCCAGGCTAGAGGCAATTGGAAAAGACAACAAAAGGGTCTCAAGGCAACTTGGTTAGAATCAGATTCCAACCAATACTGCAGCCAATGTGGCTGAGAAAGAAAAATCCAGAAGTCACATTTCAATGAGAGGAAACATTTGCACAAGAGCCTTAAGAGCACAAATAAAAGCCAAGACTTAGATTGCTAGGCTTGCTATTTTTGGTGGGCATTGATAATAGAAATGGGGCCTTTAAATGGCCTGGGCTGTCCAGCATACTTCTAAAGTCTTAAAAGCCAGTCTTTTAATTCCACTTTATTATTGCATGATGCGATGCCCTTCCCACCAAAACAAATGAATTAACCAATATTTCAAAGGGGCATTTACCACACAACATGCCGATTGGAACATCATTATCATTTCCTGCCAAGCTCTTTGATTCATCAGGATATTAACAAATAAATGCGGCCAGGCGTGGTGGCTCATGCCTGTAATCCTAGCACTTTGGGAGGCCAAGGCAGGTGGATCACCTGGGGTCAGGAGTTTGAGACCAGCCTGGCCAACATGGTGAAACCCTGTGTCTACTAAAAACACAAAAATTAGCCGGGCGTGGTGGTGCACGCCTATAATCCCAGCTACTTGGGAGGCTGAGACAGGAGAATTGCTTGAGCCTGGGAGGCGGAGGCTGCAGTGAGCTGAGATCATGCCACTCCACTCCAGCCTGAGTGACAGACAGTCCGTCTCAATAAATAAATAAGTAAAAAATAAATAAATGCATGAAATGAATTAAGTTTCACAAGTACATTGACTACAAAGCAGGTATCAAACTAGACACAGTGTGATCCCAATCATATATATGATGTATATGTATACCAGTATACTTATAGAGAAAAGACTGGAAGGAACTAAGCCAAGATATTACTAGTGGTTATTTCTGGGTAGTGGGATGAAATGTGATTTTACCTCTTTGTATTTCCCCCTCCTCTTCAAATTTACTGCAACAGATAGATTTTTATAATCAAGTAAAAGTGTTATTATAAAGACAGATACATGGGGACCATGTTGAAAATGATCCAGTTATTTGAAATCAGGGCTGTTTCTCTCTCTCCTATTGCAGCAATGCCATATACGTGTTTATCTTTTTCAGGTGGAAATGACCATCTGGTCAAAGTTTGGGATTATAATGAGGGTGAAGTGACTCACGTTGGGGTGGGACACAGTGGCAACATCACACGCATCCGCATAAGTCCAGGAAATCAATATATTGTTAGTGTAAGTGCCGATGGAGCCATTTTGCGATGGAAGTACCCATATACCTCCTGAAGCTGATGAGATGTCTCTGAGCCTTGGCGTTGCACGCAGTCCTGTTGAAGACTGAGTTTAGATAACTCCAACACTAGTCTTCATTTCTCACAGCTCTGTTTTTGTTCTTGAGTCAATTTTTCTCTTTTTCTTTATAGAATGCATTTTATATTCTTAAATTGCATATTAAAATTGAAGTATGTTCAAGAATAATTTGTGCAGACTCTAATTAGAACTTTTAACATTTTGAAT
Organism: Homo sapiens; assembly: GCF_000001405.40. Classification (NCBI taxonomy): domain Eukaryota; kingdom Metazoa; phylum Chordata; class Mammalia; order Primates; family Hominidae; genus Homo; species Homo sapiens. The sequence goes on from NC_000017.11 coordinate 9,643,430, forward strand.
AAATTCTTAGTTGTTGGTTTTCTGTTATAATTTGTTTTCTGCAACTCTGCAAAACCCACAGACCTTCCTCATGATCTGTGCACAGACAGCATTGCTATTATCCTCTAAAAATAAGGTGAGGTGAATTTCCTTCTTAATTGCCATTTCATTGGTCAAGCTATATGGGACTAGACTCAGATTTAAATCCAGATCTTGGGCAGGCTTCTTAAAAATTCTCTGAGCCACAATTTTCTCTTTTGTCAAGCAAGAGTAAGTTCCTGCTCAAAAGGTTATTGTGAGAATTAAGTGACTAATGTACTAAAGCATCGGCAGAATTCCTGACAGGGTAGAGAGAAATATGCATGCTTTCTCAAAGAAAATGTGTGGTGTTGGGGATCTCAGGACAATTACCAAAGAAAGATGAAATTACAGAGATGCTTTATTGGAGTTGGCCATTACATCTTTCTTCTGTGCTTTCCACCAGAAGGGTGATGAAATGGACCTTGTGTCCTTGTGTATTAATCACCCAGCCGGGTATCTTTTTCCAGAGAGGGGTAAATAATGGCATTTTCCAGAACGCAAGTCTCCGATTCACAGTACCGTCTGATGTTTTAAGCATGTTATTTATCCTTTAAGTAAGGCTGCTTTTTTGCATGAGGTAACTGCTGTAACCCGGTTTGAAAGATCAAGTTTTTTGTTTGTTTGTTTGTTTTTTGAGACGGAATTTAGCTCTTGTCGCAATTTAGCTCTTGTCGCCCGGCTGGAGTGCAATGGCGCGATCTCGGCTCACTGAATCAAGCGATTCTCCTGCCTCAGCCTCCTGAGTAGCTAGGATTACAGGCATGCGCCACCACGCCTGGCTAATTTTGTATTTTTAGTCGAGACGGGGTTTCACCATGTTGGCCAGGCTGGTCTTGAACTCCTGACCTCAGGTGATCCGCCCGTCTCGGCCTCCCAAGGTGCTGGGATTACAGGCGTGAGCCACCGCGCCCGGCCAGGATCAAGAATATTTAATAAATGATGATCACTTATTAAACAACAAGTAACATTTCAGAGCGTTAGAATACTGCATCTCACATGGTGCTGATCTCTTCCTGAGCTAGAAATTGACGAGAAAGTCATTTTGCAAGACCTTGCCTGATTAATTATAAACCTGACAGTTGCATGGGATAAAGTGAGGGGTGGGGGAGGGGCCCAGGGTTACCCAGGGAATCAAGGGCGGGGCAAGGCCAAACTAATTCTGATTGGGCAATCATTCAACAAGGATCGTGCGTTAAGGAGTGAACCAGAAACCGCGTAGGGGGCGCGCCTGAGAGCCTGAAAACTTCCTGGTTAGCAAATACTGAGGCTGGAAAGGGCCTGAACTTGGCAGTCCATAGATCCAGGTCGAGTTCCGGTTTCCCTGCTTACGGATCGGGCGGCCTCCCTACGTTGCGATAACCTCTCTGAGCCCCCTTCCTTGCCGATTAAAGCAAGGGTGATCAAGTCTTGCAAGTTTTTGGAAAATGATTCTAACCCAATCTGTGGTGTAAAAAAGCAAACCACAACCACTCGGGGGCTTTTTTCACAGGGCAACACGTGGCTCCCAGTTCAGGTCCCGGGTTGGCGGGTGCAGGCACAGACTCTGCCTCCCCCCAAGGGGCAGACGGTCTGGAAGGAGGTGGCGACACCTGTCCGCACACACCTGAGCCTGCGGAGGAACCAGCGGTGCACAAAAGCGCTCCCCACCCCCACACAGCGCCCAGCGCGCGCCTCTCACCACGCCCGAGGCTGTGCTCTGGAGATGCCTGCCTTGCCCTTTTCTTCCTGCAGTAGCCAGGCCTTTACCATTTACTAGGCGCTTTCAGAATGTTCATTTCTCCGTAATTTCCACTGCTTGAAGGCTGCTCGAGGAACAGGAGCAGCGGCGAAACCCAGGTCTGTCGGTTTACGAGGTAAGGAAGGGTGGGGAATCCGACCACGAAGACTCCCAGTCAGCGCAGCGGGGGCGGCACCAGGCAGGGGTAGGGGTGGCCCGGCGCTGCCCTGGAGGGGGCTGGTCGTGCCGCCGGATTCCCGCGCGGGGCGGGGCTGCCCCGCCCTTGGCTCCGCCTCCGCCCCGTCCCCGCACACCTGGCCCGCAGGTAGCCGGCACCAGGAGCCTTAGAGAAGCTGTAGGGCCTGCTGGCCGCTCGTCCGCCTCGCGCCCGGGGGCTCCGCGCCTGGAGCTGCGCCGGCGGCAGCCATGGACCTGGGCCCCGGGGACGCGGCAGGAGGGGGACCGCTCGCGCCCCGGCCCCGCCGCCGCCGCTCCCTGCGCCGCCTGTTCAGCCGCTTCCTGCTGGCGCTGGGCAGCCGCTCACGCCCCGGGGACTCACCGCCCCGGCCCCAGCCGGGACACTGTGATGGCGACGGTGAGGGGGGCTTCGCCTGCGCCCCGGGCCCAGTTCCAGCGGCCCCCGGGAGCCCCGGGGAGGAACGCCCGCCCGGACCCCAGCCCCAGCTCCAGCTCCCCGCCGGCGATGGGGCGCGGCCGCCGGGCGCTCAGGGCTTGAAGAACCACGGCAACACCTGTTTCATGAACGCGGTGGTGCAGTGTCTCAGCAACACCGACCTGCTGGCCGAGTTCCTGGCGCTGGGGCGCTACCGGGCGGCTCCGGGCCGCGCCGAGGTCACCGAGCAGCTGGCGGCGCTGGTGCGCGCGCTCTGGACTCGCGAATACACGCCCCAACTTTCCGCGGAGTTCAAGGTAGGCAGCGCTGCGCCGCCGACCGCCCTGTCCCCCTGGTTTCGCCTCTTGAAAAGTGTGTGCACGATCAGGAAAGGGTTTTCTTGGGGCCTTCTTTAAATGCCGTTGACCAGTTCAGCCCCGGATTACCGGCTTTGTTTTGAGTCGATGTGTTACGCTGTCGCTTGCTTATGTTTTCTTTGTAAATTAATTCTCCTAGGTATTTTGAGAGGGAGTGGGGTGAGCTGGCAGATTGAAGGGTAATCAGCGTTTTTGGATTCAACAAGCATTTGTTGAAGTATTGAAGGCTTGTGGGCCAGACAGTGTTCTAATGCCAGCTCTAGAGCTTCCAGTCTGGAATGATGTGGGGTAGGGAATGGGATGTTGAAGGCCAAGGCCTCAGAGGAAGGAGGTGATGCTTGCGTTGAGATCTGAATGATGAGAAGGATGCAGTCAGGGCAAGCTGTAGGACTAATCCAGGCAGGAGGAACAGCAAGTACAATTGCCATAGACCCGAAGGAGCTGAGTGCTGGAGACAGGGAAAGAAAAGCAGTGGCGTTGGAGCTTAGGAGGCAGATGAGTTTCGCCAGATCACGTAAGACCTAGGAGGCAACGGTAAAGAGTTTGGATTTTATTCTAAGCCCAGTGGAATCTGACAACCTACAGGCCAGGTACCGTGCTGAGTGCCCAGCAAAGGCAGTGAGCGTGCTATTTTGGAGATAGCATCCTTTTGTTTAAGGCGCATTCAATCCCCTACAATGTATGAGCACGGGCTTGCATTTTATTGTCTGCAAGATCACGGTCTACTTACTCGGGTTGCTGCCGGGTCGTGAGGCTTTGTAAATTGTTTGTATCACTTCACCCGGGATTAAAACGGGGTGTTTGTTTGGGGTCCCAGTTGGATTAAAGCGTTCCTGATAATTGATGCACATGGCTTGCTTCCTGCAAAAAAAAAAAAAAAAAAAAGAAAAAAAAGAAAAAAAAAGAAGAAGAAACCCGCAGCTCTGGGCAGAGAACTGAAGCTCCCTACAGACTAGTGATTGTTGTTCTTGGGGGAGGGGGAAACCTGTCAGTGTTCATTCCACAAGCATCACCGCTCTTGAGTTTCAGCCCGAGAAAGCAGTGTTTGCCATGTGACCCATGAGATGCCAACCCCCACCTTCCTCCCTCCTGCCTCCATTAGTGAAGCACTGTTCTGCAGCAGCCAGTGGGTCAAATGGTTGTCACTAAATGTCTCTTTTTGGTGACATTTGCTTTTTAAGAAAGAGGCAGTATAGTATAGTGGTTAAGAGCAAGGTCTCTGGAGTTTTGTGACCTTGAGCAAGTTACCAGATCTCTCTGTGCCGCAACTTTCTTCATCTTTAATATAGAACCATAATGGTACTTACCTCGTTATACGGTTGTTGTATTAAATGAGTTCTATGTAGAACACAGTGCCAGCCCCACAGGAAATGTTCATTATTCTATCACGACACCTTCTCACCTGCAGAAACCTAGAGCAGGGAGGGAGGTAATCTTTATGTACATTTTCTCTTGCTAGATGCATTTCCATCCAGTTACCACAGCAATGGGAGAGGGCTGCAGTAGTTTGAAAACACTTCGAAATTGGCCGAGCGCGGTGGCTCACGCCTGTAATCCCAGCACTTTGGGAGGCCGAGGCGGGTGGATCACGAGGTCAGGAGAGCGAGACCATCCTGGCTAACACGGTGAAACCCCGTCTTTACTAAAAATCCAAAAAAAAAAAAAAAAAAAAAAATTAGCCGGACGTGGTGGCGGGCGCCTGTAGTCCCAGCTACTGGGGAGGCTGGGGCAGGAGAATGGCGTGAACCTGGGAGGCGGAGCTTGCAGTGAGCCGAGATTGCGCCACTGCACTCCAGCCTGGGCAACAGAGCGAGACTCCGTCTCAAAAAAGCAAAGCAAAACAAAACAAAAAACTCCGAAATTAGTAATCACCCTCAATGACTCACCAGAATTCCCTATCTCTCTCCCGCTGTCAAATCCCCAGGGCCTGGGAGCTCCCAGTAAGCCTCAGGGAATTGAAGGATAATCAAGTTTGTAATATGTTAATGAGGGAGATACAATCTGGAATTTCCTGGGATTTTTGGGTAGTCAGCTTTGGAGGGAGGAGTGGAGGATCCCAGAATCCAGGCTTTAAATATTATGGATTGAAATCTAGGTGAGCTCTTCTTATTTTACAGATGGGGAAACATTCGTTCAACAAATATTTATTGAATGTCCAGAGAGTAGACTAGGAATGCATGGAATGCATGATGAGTGATGAGTACAAACCCAGATTCTGGGGCTGCTCTCCAGGAGCTTATGGTCTAGAGGTAGAAATGGATGTTAATGAAATAATCACACAGGCACATGATTGGAACAGAAACATGTTAGAAAGGACAAATACAAGGTGCTATGACAGTTACAGCAGGAAAATGTGATTGGATTGGGGGAGATCCTGTGGGGTGGGCAGGGAAAGCTTCCCTGGAGAGGTAACCAACCGCTGAGTTGAATTTTGAAGGATTAGGTGTCAATGAAGGGCTTGGGAAGATGGGAGAGTGCATTCCAGGACCTGGGAACTGGAATGCCAACCAGGGAAGGAGGTGGGGCCGAGAGACCTTCAGTTCAATAAATGAATAAAAGCCCACTTGGCTGGGGAGGAAAGGCTGGAGAATTAGTTGCAGACACACCACACAAGGTTTTCTTAAGGAGTCTTGTCTTTTCCTTTCTCTTTCTGTTTCTCTTTCTCTCTCTCTTTTCCTTCCTTCCTTCCTCTTTCTTTCTTTTTCTTTCTCTCTCTCTCTCCCACTCTTTCTGTCTCTCTCCCTCTCTCTCTCTCTCTCTCTCCCTCCCTCCCTTCTTTTCTTCCTTCCTTCCTTTCCCTCTCTCTCTCTTTAAGAGAGAGTGTCACTCTGTCACCCAGGCTGGAGTATAGTGGTGTCATCATAGCTCACTACAGTTTTCAATTCCTGGGCTCAAGCGATCCTCCTACCTCAGCCTTCTGACCAATATGGTGAAACCCTGTCTCTACTAAAAATACAAAAATTAGCCGGGCGTGGTGGCGTGTGCCTGTAGTCCCAGCTACTCAGGAGGCTGAGACAGGCGAATTGCTTGAACCTGGGAGGCGGAGGTTGCAGTGAGCCGAGATCGTGCCACTGTACTCTGGCCTGGGTGACAGAGCGAGACTCCCTCTGAAAAACAGAAAGAAAAGTCCTGTCCGTGGTATTACCTAGAATTCTTTTCTTCTCTTTCTTTTTTTTAAATTTTATATTTTTATTTTAGATTCAGTGGGTACATGTGCAGGTTTGTTATAAGGGTGTATTGTGTGTTGCTGAGGTTTGAGCTTCTCTTGGCCCTGTCACCCAGATAGTGAACATAGTGCTCAACAGGAAGGTTTTCGGCCCTTGTCCCCTGCCTCCCTCCTTCCTTCTGCGGTTCTCAGTGTCTATTGTTCCCTTCCTTATGTCCATGTGTACCCAAGATTTAGCTCCCCCTTATAGGTGAGAATACGCAATATTTGATTTTCTGTGCTTTTCTAATGATGTAATTAAATGTTGCACATTGTAAAAAAAAAAAAAAAAAAAGTTAAAATGTAGAAAAAAAAAGAGATCTGTAATTTTAACCCCTAGAGATAACCATTGTAAATATACTGATACGTTTCAAGGTATATACAAACAATTGAAAATTTTAGTTTTACATCCTGCTTTTCTCATTTAAGCATTGTTACAAGACATTTTCCTAGTCTTAATAATACACAACAATCATTAATAATTAAGTCTTTAACAATTAATATATTATTAAATTAACCAATTCTTTATGGAGATCTATGGTTATATTAAAAATTTTAGCCATCTGGAATTTATATTAGCTTATGTGCTTAAGCATCAATTTTAGATCTACAGTGATATACTGGAGACATGGCTTTTTAAAAACAAGGATGCCTTCTTCACCACTCTTACGTTTTGTAAGTTCTGGACAAAACAGTAAGACATAAAATGGAAATGGAGTTTCCATTTTCCAGTATTATACTGTATTGAAGTTTCTTGTATTTAAATCATTGTCCTCAGCTGTGATTATTCCCATAAGCTTAATTCCTACAAATGGAATTACATAGTCAAAGCAAAAGTATGACTGTTTTATTATCTTTCTATTTTTACTTTTTAAATAAACTTTATTGAGGTCTAAACTATATACAGTGAAATGTACCCATTATAAGCATAAAATTTAGGAAGTTTTAACAAATGTGTGAACCTGTGTAGTCACCATCTTACTTTTAAATATTGAGTTTTTGTTGTTGTGGTGGTGGTGGAGACAGAGTCTCACTCTGTCGCCCAGGCTGGAGTGCAGGGGCGCTATCTCGGCTCACTGCAACCTCCACTTTCTGGGTTCAGGCGATTCTCCTGCCTCAGCCTCCCAAGTAGCTGGGATTACAGACATGCACCACCATGCCCAGCTATTTTTTGTATTTTTAGTAGACACGGGGTTTCGCCATGTTGGCCATGCTGGTCTCAAACGCCTGACCCCAAGTGATCCACCTGCCTCGGCCTCTCATTACAGGTATGAGCCACCACGCCCGGCCAACATACCTATGTTTTTGTGGTGAGAACATTTACGATCTATTCCCTTGGCAATTTTCAGGTATATAATGTATTAACTGTAATCACCAGGCTGTATAATAAATCTTCATCCCTTATTATTAATTTATTGAACAAAAAGAAATAGCATATTTTTAAAAATTTTAATAGGTTTTTGGGGAACCGGCAGTATTTGGTTACATGGATAAGTTCTTTAGTGGTGATTTCAGAGACTTTGGTGCACCCGAGCAATGGACACTGGACCCAGCGTGCAGTCTTTCATCCTTCACCCGTCTCCTACCCTTCCCCTCGAGTCACCAAAGTTCATTATATTGCTCTTGTGCCTTTGCATCCTAAGAAATAACATCATCTTCTAAACTTGCAAAAATAGTTTTTTATTTTTATTTCTTTGATTAGGAGCGAGGTGGACGATTTTTCCATGTTTCTTTACTAGTTGCAAGTCTCCTCTTGGAATCAGCTGTTTGATGTTTTTTTTGTTTGTTTTTTTTGTTTTTTATTTGAGACAGAGTCTCACTCTGTCACCCAGGCTGGAGTGTGGCAGTGGTGCAATCTTGGCTCACTGCAACCTCTGCCTCCCGAGTTCAAGCAATTCTCCTGTCTCAGCCTTCCGAGTAGCTGGGACTACAGGCGCGCGCCACCATGCCTGGCTAATTTTTGTATTTGTAGTAGAGACAGGGTTTCACCATGTTGGCCAGGCTTGTCTTGAACTCCTGACCTGTGAGCCACTTTACCCAGCCCATCTGCTCAATGTTCTTATGCATCTATCTATTCTGCTTTGGTCTCAATGTTTTTATGTTTCTGTAAGTTCCTTAGTTCTTGTCATATTTGCTACAAATATTTTCTCAAAACTGTCTCCTTCTCCCACCCCAATATTGGAAGATTTCGATTTATTTATATCAGACATTATGATAAATATTTGATTTTGCGTACCTGCTTTTCTATGGTTATATTAAAATTTTAGCCATCTGGAATTTATATTAGCTTATGTGCTTAAGCATCAATTTTAGATCTACAGTGATATACTGGAGACTTGGCTTTTTAAAAACAAGGATGCCTTCTTCACCACTCTTGTGTTTTGGAAGTTCTGGACAAAATAGTAAGACATAAAATGGAAATGGAGTAAAAAATATTAGAAAGAAAATTGCTAAAATATGCTAGAAATCCTTATTTTAGCTTTATTACTGTCATTCATGATACCAGATAGAAGGTAGAAAATCAAAGGAATAATCATTTAGAACATATAAAATTAGATTTGTATTCAGAAAACAACCAGAAATATGAAATAACTAGGAATAATTTTAATAAGAAATGTTAAAAATTATCAATGTTTGGGAAATAAAACATACATACAGGTAGAGTTATGCCATGTTGAAGGAGAGAAATAACCAAATCTAGGGCTGAGCACAGTGGCTCATGCCTGTAATCCTAGCACTTTGAGAGGCCGAGATGGGAGGACCGCTTGAGGCCAGGAGTTCAGCCTGGTCAACACAGCAAGCCCTTAGCGCAAAAAAAAAAAAAAAAAGAAAAGAAAAGAAAGGAAAAAAAAGATGTGAGATAAGTAACCAAATATTACAGTTAATTCTTCCCAAGCTAGTTAACTGTTTGGGAACTGCTTTGTGCAGTTCTAGTTATGTTTCCATAGACTTTCTTTTTTTTTTTTCCTTCTTTTTTTGAGATGGAGTCTCGCTCTGTTGCCCAGGCTGGAGTGCAGTGGCACCATCTCGGCTCACTGCAAGCTCCGCCTCCCGGGTTCAAGTGATTCTTCTGTCTCAGCCTCCCGAGTAGCTGGGACTACAGGTGCCCGCCACCACGTCCGGCTAATTTTTTGTATTTTTAGTAGAGACGGGGTTTCACCTTGGTAGCCAGGATGGGTTCAATCTCCTGACCTCGTTTCCTGCCTGCCTTGGCTCCCCACAATGCTGGGATTATAGGTGTGAGCCACCACCCCTGGCCTGTTTCCATAGACTTTCTAGGGGAATGTCTTCTGTATTCATCAATAGGTTATTAAAAAAAAATTCCAAGAAATACCTGCCAAATACTTTATAACTGGAAAAAGACAAAGAACAATGTTCACTGTTAAAAAACTTTGTCATTTACAAATGAAAATAAAACAATTGCTCATGATCCCATTATTCTATGATAACCATTTGCTACTATTTTGCCATGTATTTTCTGCTCTTTTATTTTTCTATCTATAAATATATACATAAAACAATCTCAAATATGTATTTTTGCATTTTTTCTTCTATGACCGGATTATTATTTTCTTTATCATTTGTATTTCATCAGTCATAAATTTTAAGGCCATCTGAGTATGTCATAAGTTTTCACCCAGATAACTTTGATATATACAGACATCTCTGGTTGTATCTCTCATTTCCTAAGGCAAAATCACCAAAAGTGGAATTGCTGTTTATGGAGAGGGACATTTTTAAGGCCCTATCTTGTCTTGCTTCTTGAAGTTGTCACCTCCTTTCTGAAAAGGTTGTCAGGTACTATAGCCAGGCTAAGATGAAGAGTGTCAGGCTTAAAAGATCATCATGATTAACTGGAGAGGAATGGATTTCACATGGAAGGAAGAACAAAAGCAAAGGTCTAAGCCAAGTGCAGTGGCTTACACCTGTAATCCCAGCACTTTGGGAGGCCGAGGCGGGTGGATCACCTGAGGTCAGGAGTTCAAGACCAGCCTGGCCAACATGGCGAAACCCCATCTTTACTAAAAATTCAAAAATTAGCCAGGTGTGGTGGCAGGCCCCTGTAATCCCAGCTACTCAGGGGGCTGAGGCAGGAGAATCATTTGAACCCAGGAGACCAAGGTTGCAGTGAGCCAAGGTCGTGCCATTGCACTCCAGCTGGGCAACAAGAGCAAAACTCCATTTCAAAAAAAGAAAAAAAAAAAAAGTAAAGGTCTAGACTGTAGAAGTAGGAAAGAGTGTTTGGGGCAGCTAGGTGGATTACTTACCTGGAGCTTTGAAACATGGAATGATATGGTTTGGGGCTGAACGACAGAGGGTGCTTGGACTATTTGGTGGTGAGCAGGAGAGTAAGGAACGATTTGGAGTCAGAGCATGACAATATTCAGCTGAGCTATAGGAAAATTGGTCTGGTCTACCATGAAGTCAGTGGGTTGGCAAGGGGAGAACCTAGGGGCTGGGTCCCTCCTTAGGTAGATATTGTTGTCTGGGTCAGCTGTAGGTGAAACTCAACAGTTGGAATGAGACTCTTCTATAGGGGAAGGGTAGAGACATTTGGGAACCAGCATCCAGAATGCTTAACAGCTGACCGATATGAAGGAGAACCTGAAAGATGACACCTACATTAAAAGGATGAGCTGGTTTTAGAGATTTTGAGTTGGAAGGGCCGGCTGCTCACCCAGAAGAGAATGTTGGTACAAGAAGATAGGTTTGAGGGTTGTTTGGGGGTAGGGTTGCCAGATGAAAAATATTTACCATGCCCAGCTGACTTTTAATTGCAGATAAAAATTGAATAACTTTTTAGTGTAAATACGTCCCAAATATTGCATGGGACATATTTCTACTAAAAACATATTCATTGTTTATGTGAAATTCAAATCTATCTGAGCATCTTGTATTTTTATTTACTAAATCTGGTAGCCCTACTTGGGAATCAACATGCAGAGAAGCCTGGGGGAAGAATCCAAACTAATGTGATTGACGTAAAGACTCAGAGCCACACTTGGGGAAGCCGAGGCGGGCGGGATCACCTGAAATCAGGAGTTCGAGATCAGCCTGGACAACATGGTGAAACCTCATCTCTACTGAAAATACAAACATTAGCTGGGTGTGGTGGCAGGTGCCTGTAATCCCAGCTACTTGGGAGGCTGAGGCAGGAGAATCACTTGAACCCATAGGTGGAGATTGCAGTGAGCTGAGATCATGCCATTGCACTCTAGCCTGGGCAACAAGAGTGAAACACTGTCTTAAAAAAAAAAAAAAAAAGACTCAGAACCAGCATTTCAGTTAATTAAATCTTGCATTTTTGCTTTGTCTCATCCTAAAATCTCCTTTATTTTTAGTTTTATTTTTTTGAGACAGAGTCTCACTGTGTCACCCAGGCTGGAGTACAGTGGTGCAATCTCTCCTCACTGCAACCTCTACCTCCCGGGTTCAAGCGATTCTCCTGCCTCAGTCTCCCAAGTAGCTGGGGTTTCAGATGTGCACCACCACGCCCAGCTAATTTTTGTATTTGTAGTATAGGCAGGGTTTCACTATATTGGCTTGGCTGGTGTCGAACTCCTGACTTAAAGTGATCCATCCGCCTCGGCCTCCCAAATTGTTGGGATTACAGGCATGAGCCACTGCACCTGGCCTCTAAAGTCTCCTTTAAATCTCAAGGGAAAATTAAAAGAAAGAAAGGAAAAAAAAAAAAAAAAAAAAAAAAAAGCCCAGACTGCCTGATTTGATTGGCAGTGGTAAGGATTGTCCTGGTCCTCAGTCTTATTAAAACCAGTCCCTTTGGCAGGCATGAACAGAGAACAGACCTGTGTGGGACGAGACTGGAGACTTGGCTCTGCAGTCTAAGAGTGGGTCCCACGGCCATCACGTGCTGTGTGCATGTGCATGTGTGGACACACAGACAAGTGATTTGCTTACACCCAGATGCCCACATGCTCACACATGTATAGCAAAAGTCCCTGGAGAGATGCTGAAGGAACTGCTAAAAGTGGCTGTCCCCTGAGAAGGGGTACCACGGGATGAAGGCCAGGTAGAAGGAAGACTTCATTATCATCCTTTTCTTATTGAATTATTGTTTTTTAGTATGTGCATATATTACTCTTTGCAATAAACTTTTAGAAAGTTGGAATGTACATTTATGCAGAAAATGACAAAGGTGCTACACAATTTAACAGAAGGACAGCGCAAGGGATACCAGGAATGCAAACACCACGAGGGCAGTGAGATGAAGAACCTGTTGAAGAAACAGATGTTCATCTTTAACAGTGCAAACAGATGATGATCTGTTTTGTTCACTGTTGTATCCCCGGTCCCTAGAATAGTGCCTGGCGTGTGGTTGGCACTCAATGCATATTTATCAAAGGAATGAAGGGCTGGCTCAGCCATTTGATGCCCTAACCACAGAAACAAGTTTGTATCCTTAAATTTCATACATATTAGAAAGAGGCAGTAGAGGAGCTACATGCATGGTGTTTAAGGAAATCAACTTCACTGCAAATGTGGGTATTCTGAAAGAAGAAAGAGTTGAAGCTATGAGAATGAATGAAATCAGCGAGGGAGAGCAAGTAGGGCTAGAAGGCTGTTCACCGTCTAGGTGAACAGAGAGAGACAGCGTGAGAATAGACCAATGGAGGGAAGATTAGTGGAGCATCATACCCCAGCAGTCACAGGAAGAGAGCTTCGGTGGGTCAGATGGTCAACAGTATCAAAATATTCAACAGAGACCACTCTGTGGGTTTTCAAATGATAGGATACACATCAGCAGTCCTCTGGGAAGAAAATGTCTTCTCCCATATACAGAGACCCTCATACCATTTGGGGACATTGCCCCAAAAGGACGGGCTTTGGCGTGAAAGAACATTTCTACCCCGGCTGTTTGTGTGCTGTCATCCCAGGTCAGGGCTGAATAATGACCACTTGGTAGACCTGGTGCTCACAGAGCCTTCATTTGGTTGTATAAGGGGCCAAATTCACCTCTCGATTTCCTTTTTTCCTTTCAGAATGCAGTTTCCAAGTACGGCTCTCAGTTCCAAGGCAATTCCCAGCACGACGCCCTGGAATTCCTGCTCTGGTTGCTGGATCGTGTACATGAGGACCTGGAGGGTTCATCCCGAGGGCCGGTGTCGGAGAAGGTCGGTCACTCTCAAAACAACACAATGTACTGGGTTTTCTTTTTTTCTTTTAAATATTGACTCAGCTCCTCAAAACTGAATCTTGAAATTGAGATTCTTAGATTCCTATATAGTCTGGCTACTATATCCACAGTCTGTTCCCTGCTTCCTTCTCTTAGCTGTGTTTGTTTTACACAAGGCGTTTCCTTCCATTCCAGTATTTCTCATTCTCTTTGTCCCAGTGATATAATGAATAGAGTTTCATTTTGGCTCAAAATAAGAAAAGTCTTTTCTTTGGTTTGTATTCCGTACATTAGTGTGGTCATCCAAGGCCATGAGTACCGTTCCTTATTATTTGCAGATGGTACCATTTGAACTCTACCATTGCTTTCTCAGTTATGTATTCTACAGAGTACCAACTGTTAAACTTTTCCTCTCACGACACAGGATGGATGATTTTTACACATGTGCATTTAGCATCCCCAGGTTTTGATGGAACCCCAAACCTTTCAGAGGAGGAAAGCACTACAATCATTTGTCATAAGCACAGCTAATTGATACATCAGGCGCAGTCTTTATGGACTTTGCTCAATGATGGCTTATGCTCTAATGCTAGTCCTTTATCTTGTACTTAAGAAAGTGAAAGTGAATGAAGTTACTATATTATGAAAGCATTCATCCATTCTCACACTGCTATAAAGAAATACCTGAGGCCGGGCGCGGTGACTCACGCCTGTAATCCCAGCACTTTGGAAGGCTGAGGCAGGTAGATCACTTGAGGTCAGGAGTTCAAGACCAGCCTGGCCAAGATGGCGAAACCCCATCTCTATTAGTAATATAAAAATGAGCCAGGTGTGGTGGCATGCTCCTGTAATCTCAGCTACTCGGGAGGCTGAGGCAGGAGAATCCTTTGAATGTGGGAGGTGGAGTGAGCTGAGAACGCACCGTTGCACTCCAGCCTGGGTGACATAGTGAAACTCCGTCTCAAAAAAAAAAGAAAAGAAAAAAAAGGAGACATACCTGAGACTGGGTAATTTATAAGGGAAAGAGATTTAATTGACTTACAGTTCCACATGGCTGGGGAGGCCTCAGGAAACTTACAATCATGGTGGAAGGAGAAGTACGTACCTCCTTCACAAGGTGGCAGGAAAGAGAGAGAGTGAGGGGGAACAGCCCTTATAAAACCATCAGATCTCAGGAGAACTCACTCACAATCATAAGAACAGCATGGGGGAAACTTCCTCCATGATCCTATCACCTCCCACCAGGCCCTCCCTCCACATGTGGGGATTATGGGGATTATAATTTGAGATGAGATTTGGGTGGGGACACAGAGCCAAACCATGTCAATGAGTGAGCAAAGTTATTTTAACAACATCTGTGAATAATCTGCTGTAATAGAAGAGAAGTTTCATGAGCTTTGATAATTCCATATCAATGAGTGAGCAAAGTTATTTTAACTACATCCACGAATAATCTGCTGTAATAGAAGAAAAGTTTCATGAGCTTTGATAATTAATCAATAACACATACCTTTTGACGTATCACATGGCTGATCCAGTTGCAGCCATGAGAACTGTTTTACCAGTTTTTTGGTTTTGTTTTAAATCTGGAAACATTATTCTCATTCTTTTCATTAATCAAATAAAAAAACCCTTGGAAAGTGCTTAGATCTTTCAACCATCACCTTCCCATCCCTTCAGTGTTTGCTCAGAGCCCGTCATTCTAGCGTAATAAAGAATGAACAGTGCAGGAAGCTTAGTCTTTTTTTTCCTTAAATTTGTCTGTTTCCTTTATGTTTTCCAACTGTTACCTTTCTATTTTTTTTCTCCCTTAAAATGTCAACTTACAACTTTAAGAAAAGGAAAACATAACTATATATGGTCCATGTATCAGAGAGATTGGGTAACCTTCTAAAGCCGCACAGCTAAGTAAAGGACAGAGTCAGGATTCAAGCCCAGGGGGGTCTGGTTTGAAAACCTATTTTCATATTTTAAAAATAATCACCCCAGTCATTCCCAAAACATACAAATGAAACGAAGCAAACAATCACCACAGTAAAACCTGGGAGGACCACACATTCAAAAGTCATGGTGGTTTCTCTGGGTTTTGAGATTAGGGGTGATTTCTTTTACTTACCATGATTTCCTGTTTATCTTATTCTGACCCCTTTTCGTTGTGACAGAAATTTAACTTAGTCTCACTTAAGGAAAGGGCATTTATTGACTTTTATAACTTGTGAGTCCAAGGGTCAAACCAGCTTCAGGTAGGGCTGGATCCAGGGACTCAGATCACGTCAACAGGTCTTTGACTATGTCTCTATCCCTTGTCTCTGGCTCCATTTTCAGACTGGCTCTGCCCAGATGGTAAGAAGATGGCCTTCTGCAATGCTCATGTAGTCTTTAGAGCTTGGGATTCCAGAAAAAGCCCAGGGAAGAGTCCGATTGTCTCAGCTTGGTTCACATGTCCATTCCTGGGCATGTGGCCAGAAGAATGGAATATTCTAATTGGGTGCAGCTGGGTTGCATGCCTGTGGGGGTGAACGTGGGCCAAGGAGAGCTTTTATAGAAATGGAACAGTTTGCTTCCCCAAAGAAAGGAATGCTGAGCAGATAAACATATGTCTACTATACTGTGTATTCCACAAGTTTATAGTGAACACATTTTGAAATCAGAAGGATATATTTTTTAAAAAGATACTGTTTGTCGAATGTTTGTTATGTGCCAGGGGTGTAACTTGATGCTTTGCACAATTTATTTCTCTACCTGACACAGAGTAGACAATAAACTCTTGAAGTGATTGACTAAATTAGTTATCATGCTTTACTATTATAAGGATAACTCCTATTTTACAGTTAATGGAAATTTAGGTTAAGTTGCTCAAGGTCACTCAACTTCTACTTGGTGGAGATAGAATTGAACCTGGCTTTGTCTATTTCAAAGCCAGTGTGCTGGGTTCCTTTTCCTAAAGCTTTCCTCATGCTTTCTCAATTTCCCATGGCGGGAGAGAGGAGACTTAGAAATAGGTGGTACCTCTTTCTGCTGGCTGCGTAGGAAAAGCCCTCTTATCCTGTTTTTTTTACTCTCTCCTCTCCCTGGCTGTACCAGGCAGGTCTTCCTACTTGTAAGGTAGGTGGGATAGATAGCCTTTCCATTTTCCTTTTCTATCTCTTGGTAGCAGGAAAAGGCATTGATTGGGCTTAAGGGTGGAGAAGATCCCCGAGAGGTTAAGTAACTTGCCCCAAGTCACACAGTTATTAAGTGAGAGAACTAGGACCCAAATCCAGCAAACTCAACTCTGTAACAGGGTTCCTTAACTTCAACACTGTTGGATGTTTGTGGCCGTTTGATTCTTTTCTGAGAACGGCTGTCCTGTTCATGGTAGCATTAGTAGATGCCAGTCTAGATGCCAGTCTAGTAGGCATCTAGACTAGGCATTTGACTATTTGTGATAGCCAAAAATGTCTTCAGAGATTGCCAAATGTCCTTTGGGATGGGAATGGGGATGGTGACAAAATCACCATTCCCCTAACCCAGTTGAGAGCTACTGCTCTAGAACCTTTGTTTCTTGCTGTGGTGCACCACCCCCAGACCTTTCTTTAAGATAATATTGTGTTTATTTAAGCCAAGAAGGCCTGGCAATAATTCTTTTTTTTGAGATGGAGTCTTGCTGTGTTGCCCAGGTTGGAGTGCAGTGGCGTGATCTTGGCTCACCACAGCCTCCACCTCCCGGGTTCAAGAGATTCTCCTGCCTCAGCCTCCTGAGTAGCTGGAACTACAGGCGTGTGCCACCATGCCTGGCTAATTTTTGTATTTTTAGTAGAGACAGGGTTTCGCTATGTTGGCCAGGCTGGCCTCGAACTCCTGACCTCGTGATCCGCCTGCCTTGGCCTCCCAAAGTGCTGAGATTACAAGTGTGAGCCACCACGCCCGACCAATAATTCTTTTTAACAACTTCAAGACACAAGTAAAAGCAGCCATAATTGGTTTTCCAATTTTGAATATGTCCCATTGCAATATACTCCACACCACCACTAGATAGAAAGGAAATAAGAGCTTGTCCCTCTTCTGCTTAAATTCCCCCACTGGATTCCAATAGCACGTAGAACAAAATTCAGACTCCTATGTGACTGACAGGGCCCAGCCTGATTCCAGACCCCTCTGCCCCTCGCTCCCTGGCCTTGATCTCTCCAGCTGCTTCCTGTTCCTTAAGGGGCCAGGCATGTTAGGAGTAGACCAGCCAGGCAAGACCAGGGGGTGGCTATTGGCTAGAGAGAGGAGCTTACCCCACCCTTGGTTTGACCTGATTGAAACCAGAAAAGATCTCTTTCTCTGTCTGGGGTCAAAGCCTCTCCTCAAATTTGCTCTCAGAAAATTGGGCTGCCTGCGGAGGCCCGGCTGTGTACGCTTGAAGGTAGAGAACAGAGCTGTTGGGATTATCCGGCGTGAAACTTCATTTTCCCTTTCCTAGAAGGAAAGCCACTGTCCTCTGTGAAACTCTGATTTTTTTTCTCTTTGAGGTTATTTCTGTTTTTAAGACATAGGAAAGCTATGTAGCTAGATTTATTTGAAACTGGAATAAAAACCATAAGGGCCGCTTTCTTTTCTGTTAATTTACTGATCCTCAAATGTTTTCATCCTGCAAAGAGGGCACATTTTTATTACCCTGTTAGAAACCCTAACACAATCTTTTTGTCAGTTTGCTTTCCAGAAAATGCCGCTCTTGCAGAATTAAGTAGGGGATGAGGCTGGGGAGAAGATAAGGAAGTTGACATATATTAAACACTGACTATGTGCAGGGAAGATACACAATACATGTCATCTCTTGGGATTTTGTTTATTTTTATTTATTTATTTTTTTTGAGACAGGGCCTCACTCTGTTGCCCAGGCTGGAGTGCAGTGGAGTGATCATAGCTCACTGCAGTCTTGACCTCCTGGGCTCCAGCACTCCTCCTGCCTCAGCCCCCGACTGAGTAGCTGTGACTACAGGGATGCACCACCACACCTGCTTAATTTTTTAGTTTTGTGGATACAAGGTCTCACTATGTTGTCCAGGCTGGTTTCAAACTCCTGGATTCAAGCAATCCTCCCACCTTGGCCTCCCAAAGTGCTGGGATTACAGGTGTGAGCCACCGTGCAGGTCATCCTTTGTGATTTTAATGGTAGTTCCATGAAATTGATGTGTTAGATGTAGAGTGAGACTCAGAGAGAGAGGCTGTCATTCAGCTAACAGAGCAGAGCCAGCGTGAATGACCCCCTGCTGCCCCTCACTCCAGCCTCTTTCAGGGTTTTCTTTCTCCATACCCTTCCCTGGGTGATCCTGTCCATAGCCCCTCCCAGTGCTGTTCAGTGTCATTGAACCCATTGAATTCTTGGGTTGCAAGCAACAGCAACCGACCTGAGCTGACTCCAACAAGAAGGGAACTTAGGAGAAGGCCAAGGAGCCCCACGCTCAATGACAGGGAAAGCTGAAGGACCAGCTTGGAACTGTCAAGAATCAGGCAGCTGTGAGGGTATCTCAGCAGCAGGAACTGCTCCATTCTCTTCCCTGGACAGCACAGCCCACACAAATGTTTTCAGTCTTTGGCCACTCTGTTCATGATTCACGTTCAGAGTAGGAGCATCTCAGTGTGGCTTGCTTGGGTCATGGGCCTATTCCTTGGTAGGTGAGGGCAGGACCCCTGATTAAAGAGCCCTCCCCATGCATGGACTGGATTCAGGGTTCCAAAACAGGGGTTGCTACTACCAAAGGAGGAGGAGTGGATACGGGGCAGTCAAAATAGGCTAGGGTCCGCTATGCATCCAAGTTACCTCCTCCAAGTGCCCTTCCCCTATTTGTCATGAATGTCTCTGCCTGGATATTGAGTCACCTCAAACCCAGCATGCCCATCCCAAACCCACGTCTCCTTTTGACTTTACCTCTCTGTGAATGGAACGGGGGTTCTCCAGGCACCAGACTGGATCCTTGGAGTTGATCACGTTCCTCCACTCCCACAGTTGGGGGCCGAGTGGTGAGCTACGTCCACAGGTGTCCTGAATCCATCCCTCCTTTTCATCTTCATGTCTCCTGTTCTACCTTATCCTGTTGTTTCCTGAACCCTTGAGCCTCCTAATCTGTGTCCTAACCTCCAAACTTATGCTTCTTCATCTGGGAGTCAGTAGCTGCCAAGTTAAAGCATCTCTCCGAGCATGTTGCTACCATCTGAGTTCAAAACTCATCAGGTACTCCTCCTTGTGTAATAACAACTGCCACCTACACTGTGCTTTGTACCAGACATGTTTCTAAGTGTTTTGTATATATGATCTCTTTTTTTTTTTTTTTGAGGCAGAGTCTTGATCTGTTGCCCAGGCTGGAGTGCAGTGGTGCGATCTCAGCTCACTGCAACCTCCGCCTCCTGGGCTCAAGCAATTCTCCTCCCTCAGCTTCCTGAGTAGCTGGGATTACAGGTGTGCACCACCACACCCGGCTAATTTTTGTATTTTTAGTAGAGACGGGATTTTACCATGTTGGCCAGGCTGGTCTCGAACTCCTGACCTCAAGTAATCCACTCACCTCGGCTTCCCAAAGTGCTGAGATTACAGGCTTGAGCCACTGTATTCAGCCTTATGTTTTATATATATATATAACTCTTTAAATACTCAGAGCATCCCTATCAGACAGGTACTGTCATTATCCCTTTATTATAGTTGAGAAATCATGGAGCAAAGAGATTAAGTAACTTTTTTAGCCGGATCAGAGCAGTCGAGTAACTTGTAGTCAAGTACCGGTGTGGGGATTTGGATGTTCTTTTTTTTTTTTTTTGAGACAAAGTCTTGCTCTGTCACCCAGGCTGGAATGCAGTGGTGTGATCTCAGCTCACTGAAAACTCTGCCTCCCAGGTTAAAGCGATTCTCCTGTCTCAGCCTCCCAAGTAGCTGGGATTACAGATGTGCGCCACCATGCCTGGCTAATTTATGTATTTTTGGTAGAGATGGGGTTTCACCATGTTGGCCGGGCTGGTCTTGAACTCCTGACCTCAGGTGATCCACCCGCCTCAGCCTCCCGAAGTGCTGGAATTACAGGCGTGAGCCACTGCTCCCGCCCAGACATTCTTTTTGTTTGTTTGTTTTTGTTTGTTTGTATTTTTGAGATGGAGTTTTGCTCTTGTTGCCCAGGCTGGAGTGCAGTGTCGCAATCTCGGCTCACTGCAACCTCTGCCTCCAGGGTTCAAGTGATTCTCCTGCCTCGGCCTCCTGAGTATGTGGGATTACAGGTGCCTGCCATCACGCCTGGCTAATTTTTTGTATTTTTGGTAGAGACGAGGTTTCGCCATATTGGCCAGGTTGGTCTTGAACTTCTGACCTCAGGTGATCCACCCGCCTTGGCCTCCAAAAGTGCTGGGATTACAGGTGTCAGCCACTGTGCCCAGCCTGGTTTGGACATTCTTGACCCTGGTACCATGCTGTTCACTGAGCCAGGTAGTCTCTGTTAGGACATAGAAGCCCCCACCCACTGTGGCACCAGACTCACTTTCCAGCCCTGTTTTCTACTTCCCTTTGCACTTCCTGTATTCTAGGGAAACTGGGTGTCATAAAATATTAGGACATATAAGAATGACCATTTTGAGCACTCATAACTTGTCTCAATATTTTATTATGAAAAATTTCAAACATATGGAAAAGTTGAATTAATTATGCAGTAAACACTCCTCCCCATCACCTAGATTCTACAACTTACGTTGTACTAAATTTGCTTTATCACGCATTTACCCATCTGTCTCTCTATCCACTCATTACTCATATCTTTTTTTCCCCTCATCTTATTTTCTTGGATGTACTTTGAAGTAAATTGCACACCTTACCCAAGACGCTTCACATATGTTCCTTTTGCCTGGTTCTGTCGTCTGCTTTCTAAAATCCTTCAACATTTACCCCTAATGTCACCCAGGTCTTTACGTACACCTCACTGCCTGCCTGTTCTTCTAAAGGTATATATAGACAGGTGCACGATGTATCTATGGTATTCAAGTTTCATGGTGGAAATGTTAGGAAAAATTGTCTAAAAAGACTCCATGGGGGGAGTGATGATGAAAAAGTTGAGAGGTGCTGCTCTAGGGCATATTTTATGTGGGGCCTTGCATAGATTTTTTTTTTTTTTTTTTTGAGACGGAGTCTCGCTCTGTCACCCAGGCTGGAGTGCAGTGGCACGATCTCGGCTCACTTTAAGCTCCGCCTCCCGGGGTCACGCCATTCTCCTGCCTCAGCCTCCCGAGTAGCCGGGACTACAGGTGCCCGCCACCACGCCCAGCTAATTTTTTATATTTTTAGTAGAGGTGGGGTTTCACCGTGTTAGCCAGGATGGTCTTGATCTCCTGACCTCGTGATCCACCCACCTCGGTCTCCCAAAGTGCTGGGATTACAGGCGTGAGCCAGCGCGCCCAGTCAATATTTATATAGGTACGTTTATATTTTACTAAATAGCGTTATATTATGAGTGGCTTTGATTCTGGGATTGCCCTTAGGGACAGACCTCTTCCAGGGCAGAAATTTTGGCATAACAGGGCCTTAATCAAAATATTGTGTCCCATGTGTGGTAGGGAATGGGCAGGGGGTGAAGAATAAATTTAGGGAAACTAGAAAGGTCATATAACTCATTTTGGAAGGGATAGGGGTCCAGAGGAGTTTGGTGGCATTAGGGCACACAGAAGCCCTGAGGTGAGATAGGCTAAAAAATGACCCCCAAAGATATGAGGTCCTAATCGCTGCATCTTGTAGATGTTGTCTGTATTAGTCTGTTTTCACACTGCTATAAAGGAATACCTGAGACTGGGTAACTTACAAAAGAAAGAGGTTTAATTGACTCACAGTTCCACATGACTGGGGAGGCCTCAGGAAACTTACAGTCATGGTGGAAGGGGAAGCAGGCACCGTCTTCACAAGGTGTCAGGAGAGAGAGGAGTGAGCAGCAAAGGGGGAAGCACCCCTTATAAAACCATCAGATCTCATGAGAACTCACTCACTAACACGAGAACAGCATGGGGGAACCGCCCCCATGATCCAATCACCTCCCACCAGGTCTCTCTCTAGACATGTGGGGATTGTGGGGATTACAATTGAAGATGAGATTTGGGTAGGGACACAGCCAAATTATATCATTACCTTCTATGGTAAAGACTTTGGAGATGTGATTAAGAATCTTGAGATGGGGTCATTAACCTGGATTATCCCAGTGGGCCCTAAATGCACTACCAGTGTTCTTGTGAAAGAGAAGCTGGGGGAAATTTGAGACACACACAGGAGAAAGCTATGTGAAGACAGAGCAGAGAGAGAGTTGAAGATGCTAGGCTTGAAAACTGGAGTGATGTGGTCACAAGCCAAGGAATGCCGGCAGCCACCAGAGTTGAAAGAGTCAAGGAACAGACTCTCATCTAGAGCCTCCGGAGGGAGTGCAGCCCTGCCAACACCTTGATTTCAGTGCCGTGATACTGATTTTGGATGTCTGCTCGTGAGAACTGTGAGAGAGTAAGCTATTGTTTACAGCCCCCAGTTTGTGATAATTTGCTGTCACAGCCACAGGAAACAAGGAAATGCAAGGGGAATGAAAAGGACAGCAGGACTGATGGACAGAGTGAAGGAAGCTTGTGTACCAAATTGAAAAACGAAAAGCCTCATTTGCCTGCAAAAGAGAATACTCATGTGAAACTGACTCCTGAGAAAATGTGGGCAGGAATGATTTAGCAGGCAGGTGGAAGGTGGAGAGATTTGGTGTGGATGCGTTTGAGGTGATGGCAAGCCCACCCAATAAATATACGAGAGGCATCTAGACATTGAAGCCGAGTGGGACAGAAATAACGCGCAGGGCCGTCCATCCAGGGGGAACGGGTGAGGCTGGTGAGAATGAGCGAGCATCCACCAAGGTTCAGGCTCAGGTTTGCTCTTTTAATGCACACACACTTCTTGTCCCAGAGAATTTGGGAGGTCAGGGGATTGAAAGAGCCTTGAGTTATGGTAAAGGCAGCACTGAAGGTTGAGACTCTACAGAGGCCCAGAAAGGGATGATGCGGGCCCAGGAGGAAGCATGGGCTCGGTGGTCTGGAAGCAGTTGAGTGATGAGAGGTGTATCTAATCTGGCTTCCTTTCCTCATTTCTTTGCAGCTTCCGCCTGAAGCCACTAAAACCTCTGAGAACTGCCTGTCACCATCAGCTCAGCTTCCTCTAGGTCAAAGCTTTGTGCAAAGCCACTTTCAAGCACAATATAGGTAAGATGGGGATGTGTTTAGAATGTATCACCCGAGGGCTCCGCAGACTCAATTCCTGGTAACCAGTCTCCCATTGACAGATTTACCCTGAGATTTCAAAACAACAAAACCACAAACACCCTTCTCTCTCCCATTATAAATCCTGATTAAGCACACACTCCTGTTGTCTCTGACCTTTGGTATTTCTTCTTTTCCTTCTTCTTGGCTTCTGAGCTCTCCACCTTACTTGAAGGAGGGGTGATAAGAGGATGATTCCACAGAAGGTAAATGTGAGCTGGGATCTCACTAGCAAGCAGTCACTCTGAAGTTGGAGAGACCCTTCCTGTTTGTTCTCTCTCCAGAGAGCCCAACTTAACAAGTCATTCTGAGCTCAAGAGTTCCAAGCGTTATGGAGGATATAAAAATGTATGTACAGCCTGGGCAACATAGGGAGACCCCATCTGTACCAAAAAAAACCACAAAAAACAAAAACAAAACCTAGCCGGGTGTGGCACGTGCCTGTGGTCCCAGCTACTCGGGAGGCTGAGATAGGAGGATTGCTTGGACCCAGGAGGTCAAGGCTGTGATCGAGGCTGGCGTACAGTGAGCCGTGATCGCACCACTGTACTCCAGCCTGGGCAACAGAGTGAAACCCTATCTCAAAAAAAAAGTAAATAAATAAATAAACAAACAATAAAAAAAGTTATACAGCCTTTGACTTCAGAAAGTATGTGTTCTCTTTGAGCTTTTATATGTGAAAGTGCAGAGATTCATACAAGGCAGAATCGTTTCAATATTATAATGTTCAGTGAAAGCGCTGACAGCAGTGAAAGGTCAGAGAGGGGAGAAAACCCCATGGACTTCTCAGAGGAAGTGTGCCTTTTGTTGGCCTCTGCAGGATGAATAGAAGTACGAATGGGTAGGAAGATAGTCAACAGGAACAAATGCAAGCTTAAAGGTGGGAATGAGCACAGTGGTCGGGATTTAGACGAGGAAGCCATTGGTTACAGAGAGCCTCCTCTAAGATGCTTGCCTGTGTGTGTATATGTGTGTGTGCATGTGTGCGTGCACGTGTGCGCGTGTCTGTGTGTTGCCAATATATATAATCATGCGTTTATATGTGTGTGTGTGTCTATATATATTTTAAGCCTTACAAAAGTCTCAGGGGATGAGTATTAAAATTTGGGAAGTTGGGCTTTTTCTACAGACACATGGTAAGTGGCAGAACCAGGATTTGTCCCCTGAAATATGTCTAAAGCACAAGTCCTGCCTTTTTGCCTTCTTTGCAATTTTTCTGTTTTTCCAGCTAACCTTGTTCATTCACTGTGATTCTCTGCTGCTCCTTCAATTTCACAGGAACTCTGTTCTCTATTATGGATACCAAAACAAGTTTTTTGTATTTTTCTTCTGGATGTTGCACTAAATCATTTCGAAGCCATGCTTTTCTCCGAGTCGTCTGGATAATATTTCCTTTGCATTTCTCTGCAGTGGTTTTTTGGAGGTCTCCAGGTGGTTTTCTTCTCTTATTGACTTCTCTTCAAACAAGGAGATAATTATTCAGTCTTCTAGAATTTCCTTGCTTATAGCCATTTACTTCCATACTTTTTGGGGATTTGTATTCTTTGTGTTTGCACAGCAAGAGGTCACTTAAAACTGCCCGGAAACTATCCTGATTTAGGATTCATGTTATATTCAATAACCACTGAAAAGATAAATAGGATATAATTACTGTCTTTAGAGGCTGATTGTTTATTTAGGAAGACCAAATAGTCTTTGAAACTAAGCTGCTTTCCACTGGTGAAGAAAAATCTATAGCACTTGACAAGTTCTCTCACGCTCTGCCTCACCAGGGACAGGGACCCTGAAGAAACAGCCGGGATGACTGCGGGCTCTTCGTTCCTGCTTGCTTGAGGTTGTTTAGTATACAGGGTAAAGAGGATCTCACCTCTATGAGCTCAGATTTCTCTGTCATGCCTGAAGAAAGCCTTGCTCATTTCCTGAGGGATGTGGTAACTCTCCAGGAGGTATGCAGAGAGGAAACCTAGATTTTGTGGTCACCAGCCTTGAAAGCTATTGGCCATGAAAGCCGCTTGTAGGGCATCTGTCTTATTTATTTATTTATTGAGACAGAGTCTCCCTCTGTTGCCCAGGCTAGAGTGCAATGGCACGATCTTGGTTCACTGCAACCTCCACTTCCCGGGTTCAAGTGATTTTCCTGCCTCAGCCTCCTGAGTAGCTGGGATTACAGGTGCGTGCCACCATGCCTGGCTAATTTTTTTTTTTTTTTTAATTTTTAGTAGAGATGGGGTTTTACCATGTTGGTCAGGCTGGTCTCGAACTCCTGACCTTGTGATCCACCTGCCTCGGCCTCCCAAAGTGTTGGGATTACAGACCTGAGCCACCACGCCCGGCCGGGCATCTGTCTCCTCTTCAGGTGCCCAACGCAGAGGGTGCTAGAACCAAAAATAAGGAGACAGAGGAAAAGCATAGAGAAAGTGAAAGAAGAACATTTAGAACAAGGGAAAGGGGAGTATAAGGTGAAGGCATGTTAGAGAGAGGGGAGAGATCACTGATCATCGCCAGCAGGTCGAATTCATCTGTGTGCTTGTACAATTAATTCACCTATTTCTCTATTCATTTCCCCTCTCGTCCACATACTCTTCTTCCTTCTTTCAAATATTCAAGTGCCTGCTAATGTGCTTGGTCCAATAGTTACCATGAGGAGTAGAACTCCTGGCTGAATCCTTGTTGATTCTTTAGATATTTCATTCATGCCCTACTGCGTGCTGGGTTGTCTTGTAGGTGCTGTGAACAAGACTCAGCCCCTGTTCTCAGGGAGCTCGCATTCTACCTGGGGGAATGCTAGATAATGTACAAGTAAACAACAACCTGTGATAGCCATCAGCAGAAAGATAAGGAAGCACTTGGGAGGCGGGGAAGTGGCCCACATTCCATAAGGCGGGCAGGGACTAGGCTTCTTTTCGGAGCTGAAAACAGAGTGACAAGGAGTCTGCCATTTTAATAACTGGGCACAGAGTATTCCAGGCAGAGGACACAGCACAGGCAAAGGGCCAGAAGTGGGAATAATCCTGGCAAGTTCAAGGAATGGAAAGCCCAAGGTAGCTGCCAAGGAGTGAGTAGAGCAGCTGGGATTACAGGCATGCGCTGGAGATGGCTGGAGAGGTGGGTGGGGACCTGGTAGGGCAGGTTTTCAGTCCAAGTGTGCGGGTTTTAGTCTCAAGGGCACAGGAAGACACTGCAGAGTTAAAGGAGGGAGTGATCTAGTTCATTAGTTTCAGAGGTGACTGCTTTTTTTTTTTTTTTTTGAGACGGAGTCTTATGCTATCACCCAGGCTGGAGTGCAGTGGCGCAGTCTCGGCTCACTGCAACCTCTGCTTCCCAGGTTCAAGCCATTCTCCTGCCTCGGCCTCCCAAGTAGCTGGGACTACAGGCGTGTGCCACCATGCCCAGCAAATTTTTGTATTTTTAGTAGAGATGGGGTTTCATCATGCTGGCCAGGCTGGTCTTGAACTCCTGACCTCTAGTGATCCACCTGCCTCGGCCTCCCAAAGTGCTGGGATTACAGGCGTGAGCCACTGCACCTGGCCCAGAGGCAACTGCTTTTTATGAGCAATGCAGGGAGGCAAGAGGAGGCAGGAGCAACAGTTGGTGCCACTGTGGTCCCAGTGGGAGAGCAATGGTGGTTGGAACTGCAGAGGTGGCGGTAGAGATGGAGGGAAGTGGAGGGGTTTGGAGTATGTTTTTGGATGGAGAGTCAGCATCTTTCCATTAGTCCTTCCACCCCACAACCCTCACCCCAGTCTTGCTAACGGGGTGAGGGGTAGAGGAACTAAGGGAGAGGTGAGACTCTAGGGTGACTCTTGGGTTTTTCTATGATTATAACTGGTGAGTACTTTGGAGGAAAAATCGAGGGTGCTTTGAAGTACATGCCTGACTTGGCGTGGGATGAATCGGGGGTGGGGAGGACTTCCGAGGGAGTGACATTTGAGCTGATTGGATATTAAGGACCATCAATGCCCTTTGGGTATTTTTTCCTATAGCATGATGAGTAAGAGGCGAGGTGTTCACGCTAAAGATGAACTGGCAATGGCTAAAAATGCCAGCTTTGTGCCTGCTGATAAAGACAAGGTGTCGTCAGGGATGCCTTGAGGTCTGAGGGGTGGTTTTCTGCAGTGGTCAGTGGGGGAAGTGCCTGGCTGGCGTCTCCTGCTGTCCCTGACTCTCTCCTGGCTTCCTCTCCCTGGGGAGGGCTTGCCTGGGATGGCATCAGCCTTCTTGATGTAATTGAGAGATGGATGTTATTATGGGTTAATTCAGAGGCATCTTCCCTTAAACCCCTTTTAAGGGGCTGAGTTTTTGACTTTGGCTGGGGGAGAGAAAAGGAACCTCCAGTACTAGAGTACCGAAGATCCTGGACTATAGCAAAGATATTTAGTTATTCTATGTGATTATCATCACAGTCTAAAAATGTCTGCAAGTCTAACGACCAACGATTGTGGCTATGTTGGAGTTTTGGCTGGAGGAGGGAGTGTGTGTGTGTGTGTGTGTGCACAAATTCTTCATGTCCTTCATAGCCTTTATCCACAGAAAGTCTAAGGATGTTTTTGAAGGCTTCCTCAGAACAGATCTTGGAAAGGTGAGATCTTGCTTACGTATTGGCATAATTACTGTTGTTTGCATAGACGTCAGATCCACTGTTCAGTGAGCAGGTAAAGTGGACTGGGTTTGAGGTGAAAGATGTGTGTGTATTTGGCAGCAGTTAAAGGGCAGAGTGACAAGAAATTCAGGGGCAAAGCCTGGGGCTCTTTGGTGGGCGTTTGTAGCAGGTGGAAAAGCAAACCGCAGCCCTGAGTTTTAATAGCACTGACGGGATTAGCTTTGTTAACAGAAGCAATTTGACAAGGAGAATGAATACCTTAGGGAAATGGGCCTGTGAACATTGAAAGGCAGTGGGGTGATTTTCTGTTCCTTTTCCCCTTGAGTGCACTTGTGAGACAACAGGGCAGGACTGTGAATGTCCTGGAGGGAATGGGGAGAATGGAGGCATCCATCAGGCCACATAGGGGTATTGCTCTAGCCTGGTAACATGGGCAGAACTTTTTGTAAAAGTGAAGCTGCCTCTCCATCTTCTTCAGATCTGTTTGTCACATCAGTCTGTCCTGATTTCTGAACCTTTGACACGTGGATGTATTTGACATCTTTCCTATAGTTTATTATGAAAACATTATACTTTTTCATTCTTTATTTTATTTTTATTTTTTTGAGACAGAGTTTTGCTCTTGTCACCCATGCTGGAGTGCAATGGCGCGATCTCAGCTCACTGCAACCTCCGCCTCCCGGGTGCAAGCGATTCTTCTGCCTCAACTTCCCAAGTAGCTGGGATTACAGTCACCTGCCACCACGCCCGGCTAATTTTTGTATTTTTAGTAGAGATGGGGTTTCACCATGTTGACCGGGTTGGTCTCGAACTTCTGACCTCAGGTGATTGCCCACCTCGGCCTCCCGAAATGCTGGAATTACAGGCGTGAACCACTGCGCCTGGCCATCGTTTTCATTCTTTCAATATAAAATTTGCCCATTCTACTTTTTTTCTACAAACCACTCATCGCTTGCTAGCTGATAGGAGTTGGTGGCTCAATGTAAAAGTCATATTCCTGAACCAGTTTAATATGTCGCAATGCTTCAAGAAAAATGCAACCCAGCATAGTTTTGGTAGGCTGAAAAGCATGAAGACGTCAATGAAAAACATTCTCTCTCATTGGTTTATATACTTGTGAAATGGGAATTTGGGAATTTCCCAATGACCCAAGTATATCCTTCAGGCCAATTTTTTGCCTAGGTACGTGATGGACAGAGGTGGAGAAGGATTGGAGGAGAGACGCAGTGGCAGAGGAGACCCCAGAAATGTTGGATTTCTGGCTGGCTGGTGTTCACTGTCTGATACAATGCTTTCAACAAAAACACTACCATGGGTCTCCCAAAGGGAAATGACCTGAGGCAGCATGAGTGATGGAATGTCCAGTACTGGGGCCTGTTTCCTATAATCAGGTTGATGGTCTGATAAGTTGTATCCAAGATAACTGACTTAAATGGGCAGATCACCCAGGATTGCCTCGGGCGACACTCTCCTGTTTATGTTCCTGTTTGTCCCTGGATTTTCCTATTTGTCTGCTCAGTGGAAAACCAATCAAACGAGACGGGCACTTTCCACAAGGACTCAGGAAACCTGTTCTGATACCAACTTTGGCTTACTTGCTGACTTATCCCGGTAATGTCATACAGTGCTAAGAGTATAGACTTCAGAGTCAGACTGCCAGGGCGGTCTTGTTCTGTGTCCTCAGCGAAGTTAATGTAGATTTTAGGATTAGTAACATAGCATGCAGAAATCCCTTGTGTCTTGGAAGAATATGGTGCATTATATGATAAGAGAAAGAAAATTGGTATGTACATGTGGAATATAAAAGTTGCATTTCAGCCGGGGGCAGTGGCTCACGCCTGTAATCCCAGCACTTTGGGAGGCTGAAGTGGGTGGATCACAAGGTCAGGAGTTCGAGACCAGCCTGGCCAACATAGTGAATCCCCCGTCTCTACTGAAAAAAATACAAAAATTAGCCGGGCGTGGTGGCAGGCACCTGTAATTCCAGCTACTCAGGAGGCTGAGGCAGGAGAATCGCTTGAATCTGGGAGGCAGAGGTTGCAGTGAGTCGAGATCGCGCCATTGCACTCTAGCCCGGGTGACAGTGCGAGACTCCGTCTCCAAAAACAAACAAAAAAAAGTTGCATTTCACTTTCAGAGATCCATTCTAAAGTAAAGGAGTATTAAGTTTAAAAGAGTTGAAAGAATATAAATGAACATTATATATATCTACTCTGAACCAACTGACACCTCACCGACTTCTACGAAAGAACGCAGGAATGATATGAGCACGGAGTCTGGAAACTGAGCCTAGCTTTCTTACTTAAGAGCTGTGTGTTCTTCAGCAAATTACTTAACCTCTGTGTGCTTCAGATTTCTCTTCTGTAAAATGTGTATAATATCAGTTGCTATGGGTGGTAAATGGGTTCATCTATGCTAAGTGCTCAGAATTATGCTTGGTTCTTAGTACATGCTATTTCCATGTTAGTTATTACTTTAAGGAGCTATTTCTTATGGTTTCTTCTTCTGTACAATAAGGAGGGTGGGCAGTGTCAGTGATTCTCTACTATGGGAGAACACTAGGGTCATCTGGGGAGCTTAAAAGCTCAGGATTTTAGAAAGATTTTGATGTCTGGACCCCTCTCTACCCACCTTGAAACAGAATCTCTGGGAGTGGGGCCTGGACATTGGAATTTTAAAAAAGCCTTCCTGTGGTTCTGGGGCACAGTGAGGCTGAGAAGCAGGGGAAGAGATGGTCCTGAGATCCCTTCAGCTTGGAAGTTGGCATGCTGGGTTTGTATGGCAGGGGCGGGTTATAGCTTCCCTTCCCATACTCAGTGCATTTATGTGTGTCACTAAACATTCTTTTCCCTTTTAAAAAAACGGAGGTGAAAGTCCTGTAACATAAAGTTAAGCATTCTAAAGCGTACAAATCAGTGACATGTACATTCACAGTGTTGTGCAGCTACCACCTCCTAGTTCCTAAACATTTCATCACCCCAAAATAAAACCTGGTACCCAGTAAGCAGTCAGCCTCATCCTCCCTTCCCTCAGCTCCTGGCAACCACCAATTTGCTTTCTGTGTCTATGGCATTACCTGTTCTGGATACTTCATATAAACGGGATCGTACAATATGTGGGCTTTCATGTCTGGCTTCTTTCACTTAGCGTGCTGTTTTCAAGGTTCATCCACGTTGTAGTATGGACCAGGGGTTCATTCCTTTCTATGGCTGAGTTGTACTCTACTATGTGGACGTATCATATTCTGTTTACCCATTTGTCTGTTGATGGACGGTTGGGTTGTTCCCACCTTAACTATTGTGAATAGAGCAGCTATGAACACTTGTGTACAAGTATTTGAACACCTGTTCTCAATTCTTCTGGGTATGTACCTACGAGTGGAATCACAGGGAGTGGAAATGCAAGGATAATTCTGTATTGAATTTTACCCCCAAATTGTTTACGTGTGATTAAACGTTCGCCTCTGTTCTTCACCCTCACAGATCTTCCTTGACTTGTCCCCACTGCCTGAAACAGAGCAACACCTTTGATCCTTTCCTGTGTGTGTCCCTACCTATCCCCTTGCGCCAGACGAGGTACGTGAGTGTCGCGGCTTGCCCGGTGAACTTGACTTCCATCCTTACTCATTACGGGGAAGCTTCTGGCCTCACACCTGCCATTTTCTCTCCTTTGCTTCTCAGCCAGCATTTCTCTGGAAACCAGCCTTATAGCTGGATGACATTCAACTATTGAAATTGACAGAGTGAAAGGTTACTGTGTTCCTTCTCTAGCTGAGGAAGGAATTATGAATGTTTGGCACAATTGCCAGACTTAGATCTGTGGCCCATTCAGAAGCTGGCACGGACCCATTGGTCTCACTTAGTGAGACAGGGGCAAACTAGAGAAAATCCGTGGCCACCTGCTTTTTTTTCCCCAGCTTTACTTCAACTTCAAAAATCTATTTTCTTCTTTGAGAAGGTGCAGGAAAAAGATTTCTTTAAGGAGCAAAGAAAGAGGAAAGGGGTTGTTTGGGGAAGATGAGAAAAAAAAAGAAAAGTGGAGGTAGGGCTGGGTAACAGGCACCATGGGCCGAGTTCTATAAAAATAAGCCCAAATCTTAGCAGTGACCAGGAAGGCAAATGGCCAATGTCAGTGTCCTGGCATGTGGGTGAGCTCCTATGTGGGGTGTCTTCTCTGGCATTGGAAGAGAGGTATTTCCTCTTTATGTTCCCCACCTCCTTAAGTGCCATTTCTCTTACCCTCTTCCTATTGACATCCCCTGCCTTTAGGATGCAGCTGAAGACATAACATCTTCAGAGGGCCTTGCTTGGCAACTCAATCTCCCTTTCTGCTCTAAAATTGTGTGCTGCTGATCTTCTGCACTACAAATATAACTACTGGCTTATGCTATAACATGGCTTATGCTGTCTATCATCAGTGACACCATCAGATAATGTCAACTTATAGATGTGATGATCTAAGACTCCCAGCCTGACACAGCACAGCAGAGTGGTCAAGACCACTGACTCTGGAGCCAGACGGCCCAGGTTCGAATCCCAGCTCTATTAATTAATTACCTGTGTGACTTGGGCAGTTATTGGAGTACAGATCAAGAGAAACAGTAGCTGCAAGAGTGGGCCTTCATATGCCGGTGGGAAGGGGAAGCAGAGATTTCCAAAGGAGACTCTCATTAAGGAGAATGTCATCAGTAGTGTTGATTTGTACTGAAAAAAACACCTTGACTGCTTTAATTTTCAAACTTTGGAGTTTGTTTTTGTTTAAGCTTATCTATTTAACAACTAGAGCCTTGAGATCGGACATCTCTATGGTGATTCTTAATCAAATACTTTTTCCCCCAATTCTCTGGAAAAGTAATTTAGAAGATTTGGCTCTACCCTGCCACCTGGTGACAATGTACCAAGTACAGGGACACAACCAGGAAGCGGAGATTAACTATGTGCTGAACTTGATCCATTATCTTTCTTTCTTTCTTTCTTTTTGAGATGGAGTCTTGCTGTGTCACCCAGGCTGGAGTGCAGTGGTGCCATCTCTGCTCACTACAAGCTCCGCCTCTCAGGTTCAAGCGATTCTCCTGCCTCAGCCTCCCAAGTAGCTGGGATTACAGGCATCCGCCACCACACTCAGCTAATTTTTTTGTACTTTTAGTAGAGATGGGGTTTCACCATGCTGGCCAGGCTAGTCTCGAACTCTTGACCGCAGGTGATCCACCTGCTTCAGCCTCCCAAAATGCTAGGATTACAGGTGTGAGCCACTGCGCCTGGCCTTGATCCATTATCAACAATGTCATTCACAGTTCATGTCAGTCCTTTAAGGGTGTTGCCCCTTCCTATTTTCCAGGTTCTTGAGTGTCACCTTGGTCTTCCCCTCTAAGAGCCAGCGGTTCCTGCGGGTTGGCCTGGCCGTGCCGATCCTCAGCACAGTGGCAGCCCTGAGGAAGATGGTTGCAGAGGAAGGAGGCGTCCCTGCAGATGAGGTGTGATAGAATTGCACTGGGGCCTGGTCATTGGATGATAGAATGCTAACTGAGCCAGCTGTCTAGGCTGTTTAGGCCAATTTGTGGTTCCCAGGTGACTCCAGTATGACTCATGGGTTTCTGGTTGATTAGTAATGCCTGCTGTCTGGGATGACTGGGCCTTGACTTTTCCCTGCATTGACACAGAATGACCAGAAAAGAACACCTTTGCCTTCCGAGAAGGCAATGACAATTATGATCATAATAATTCCAGCAATAGCTACCCCTAGGTAGTGCTTACTAAGTGTGGGGCACTATTCTGTGAACTTTCTATTCATGCCTGATTTAATCACAGGCGTCCTGTGAAGTAGACATTACAATTATCCTCATCTTACTAATGGGGAATAAAGAAGCCCTGAGAGGTTAAGTGACTTGCCCAACGTCACTAGCTAGTAAGTGGCTGAGCCAGGATTTGGATTTCGATGGTTTGACTTCATAGCCCAAGTCACCATTGTATATTTTCAGTCTTGGCAATATAAACCAGGACAGTAAAGGAACAGTAAATGAAGCAGGAGGACCTGCTGAGAGAACTGAGGATGTATAACATGAGAGAGAACATCTGGCGGAAGCTGGGATGGCTGTGTTCTACCTGTTTTCTTTTCAAACGAGTCTTAGTAAAGCGATTGGATTCACAGTGCCTGGAGGGGCCCTCATGAGGAATAGGGAGGAGGCCGTGGTGGCGCCAAGCCACATGGCAGGATGGGAGCGGCCCTCAGGGTGATTCAGTAGCTCCCTAGGTTTCTGACCCTGGACACAGTATGTGATTGGCTCTGTGTCCTTAACTGTGACATGGAAATTGACACTTCCCTGACTATCTCATGGGATTTTTTCAAATCAAAAAATATTTTTAACCTTGTTGGGAAGGCATGCCACACATACAATAACGTCTACCTATCTGAAGATTGTGGTTTGCTGGCTTTCTCTACGTTCATAGCTACATTCCTATAACCTCCACGCTTCCTGAGCCTCCCCATCACCCCAGTGGGCTCCTTTCTGCCCCTGCCCAATCAATCCCTCTGACCTCTATCGCTACCTCATAGAATATTTATGACTCTCTCAAATAGCAGGGGAAATGTGTGTATCTTGCTTTGTAAACTTTAAAGTGCACTATGGGGAGTTACTGAAAGAGACGGAGAGAGAGGGGGACAGTGGGTGAGAGTCCTGGGGAGAAAGTGACAGTAAGAAAAGATCAAAAGGGAGAAGTCTATGAGAGGGAGCGTTTGAATAATTAAGAGTGTGAAAAATCTGGCAGGAATTTGAGAGGTGTGATGTGTTGGTTCAGGGAGATGGGAGTCAGTTGGGGATGCCAGTGTGGGACGGGCATTTCCACTGAAACTGAAAGTCATCTATTTTGATGCTTTGTTTTCTTTAACTGGCAAGTGTATTATATTTATGTTATATAAAATCATAGATATATGTACTTGGATTTATTTTTCTATTTTATTTATTTATTTTTTGACGGAGTCTCCCTCTGTCGCCAGGCTGGAGTGCAGTGGCACGATCTCGGCTCACTGCAACCTCCGCCTCCCAGGTTCAAGCGATTCTCCTGCCTCAGCCTCCTGAGTATGCATCACCACACCCAGCTAATTTTTTGTATTTTTAGTAGAGACGGGGTTTCACCATGTTGGCCAGGATGATCTCGATCTCTTGACCTTGTGATCTGCCCGCCTCAACCTCCCAAAGTGTTGGGATTACAGGCGTGAGCCACTGCGCCCGGCCTGTATTTGGATTTATTTATGTCATCTTATTTATTTATGTCATCTTATGCTATTTACCCTGTTTTCCTATTTTGTACCGCCCCTCCCCCCCCATTTTTAGATTGAACAGTCTTTTTCTTTTAGAAGATGATTCTTTTACATTGAGCAATTTTTCTTTATTTCATCTTTTCTGGGATGAAGTACATCCAGAAGATGTACTTCATGTACATGTCAATATGTATATGTAAATATAATATATACATTATATTTCCATTCTTTTAGTGGTTACTAAAATGTCAACTTGCATAATTACGAGTCTAAAGCCAATCTTCCCATGTAACACAAGGATCTTGGTATGCATTAAATCCCCTTATACCTTTTTGATTTAGATATTATTGTCCAGTATTTTAATCCCTTCTCCACCTCCAACTGTAATAGTAATAATAGTTATTATTTTAGCTTTATATAGTTGATAATATTTACCTTTGCCAATGTTTACCATTTTCTTTGGTTCATCATTTCTTCCTACAACTCAAGTTTTCTCTTTGATTCAGGTTTTTAAATCCTGAAATCTATGTATTTATGAATGAATGAATGAATGAATGACAGGGTTTTCCTCTGTTGCCCAGGCTGGAGTGCAGGGGTGTGATCATAGCTTGCTGCAGCCTTGAACTCCTGGGCTCAAGGGATCCTCCCACCTCAGCCTCCTGAGTAGCTGGGACTACAGGCTCATGCCACCATGCCTGGCTAATTTTTTAAAAAAATTGTGTAGAGATGTGGTCTTGCTGTATTGTTCAGGCTGGTCTTGAACTCCTGGGCTCAAGTGACCCTCCCTCCTCAGCCTCCCAAAGTGTTGGGATTATAGGCATGAGCCACGGTGCCCAGCCCTGAAATGCATCTTTTTTTTTTTTTTTTTTTTTTTTTTAATGACGGAGTCTCGCTCTGTCGCCCAGGCTGGAGTGCAGTGGCACGATCTCGGCTCACTGCAAGCTCCGCCTCCCGGGTTCACACCATTCTCCTGCCTCAGCCTCCGTAGTAGCTGGGACTACAGGCACCCAAAATGCATCTTTTTAACGAGAACTTCCCAGGCAGTGTACCTTGAATAGGTTATGTGTGCTGAGATATTGATTTCTTCAGCATCAGGGTAACAGAGTTGGGTCTAGGGCAGTCAGGGCCCCCACAGTAGTCACCCCTCTACTCTGCTACAAAACCATCTCCTATTTACTTCAATGTTTGGTAAAAATTTTTTTTATGTATGCAATCACGTGAAAAAGGTTAGTAAACCTATTCAGAAATTCTTTCACTCTGTAGTAAACACTCACTTTTTGTTCACATGAAGAGGGCTTTATTTTGTTGTCATTTTTCTATGCTTGTTTAGCTGGGTATAAAACTTAGATTTTTTTTTTTTTTTTCAGTTTCTTTTTTTGTTGCACTTGAGATGTCTGAGGACAATCTAATGGTTGTATCTACTATGCTGCCTTATTACTAAAAATAAGTAGCCAATTGGAAGGAAAAGGTGAAAAATGGGTGTTGACTATCAGTCACTTTTAGATTTCTTATCTGTTGATTTCTCTTTCAGAAATCAAGAGGGAAAATGATCTTTCTCATTTCAGGTGATCTTGGTTGAACTGTATCCCAGTGGATTCCAGCGGTCTTTCTTTGATGAAGAGGACCTGAATACCATCGCAGAGGGAGATAATGTGTATGCCTTTCAAGTTCCTCCCTCACCCAGCCAGGGGACTCTCTCAGGTATAACAGGTGCTTTGCACAATTTTATTTGGCTATGATGAGTTACAGGTTTCAGAGGATACTCCTTGGGTGCAAAGGCATAAAACATCCAATTTTAGCACTTGGAACAGTCAGACTTATTATCCCTGGCATTCGTTGTGTGCAGATGGTTGATATTAAAAATTATTCACCTAACACAAGTATTCTCAAAACTAAGCTTAGTGAATATTAGAATCACCTGGAGGGCGTGTGAAAGCAGATTTCTGGACCCTACCCACAGAGTTTATGATTTGGGTGGCCTGGGGTGGGGCCTAAGAGTTTGCACATCTAACCAAGTTCCCAGGTGATGCCGATGCTGCTGGTCCAGGAACCACACTTTGAGAACCACTATTTGGTATAGATGCTGGAGTCATCTTTGCCGTCAGGATTCCTATGGGTCAAGATTTGTGTGTGAAGTAAAATGTCTACAAATTTGAGCAGTACGTGGTTAAAGTTTTATTAAATGACTTTTTAACAAAATAGTTCCACTTCTTAATGCTTGCTTTTCCTATTCCATGGACTGGCTAACATGGTCAATTTCTAACAGTCCTTTTTATTTGTAGATCAGGATACATTTTGGCCAAGTTAGTGAAGAAGACCCATATATATATTATATATTATATGTAATATATAAAATATATGTTATCTATTACATATAATATATAATATATATAAAATGTATATTATATATCATATATAATATAATATATGACATATACTATATAATATATACTATATAATATATACTATATAATATATACTATATAATATATACTATATAATATATACTATATAATATACTATATAATATATACTATATAATATATACATTATATAGAATATATTATATAATATATATTTAATATGTATTTAATATATTTGATATATATTTAATAATTATATATGTTATATATAATATAGATAAATATATATAAATATATATATAAATAAATATATATATAAATAAAATAAATAAAATAAATAAATATATATAAATAAATATAATATAGATAAATATGTAATATATTATATAGCTAAATATCTATATTATATATAGATAAATATATATAAAATATATTATATATATATATATATATATATATATATATATATATATATATATATTTGAGATGGTTTCTCACTCTGTCACCCAGGCTGGAGTGCAGTGGCGTGATCTTGGCTCACTGCAACCTCCACCTCCTGGGTTCAAGTGATTCTCCTGCCTCAGCCTCCCAAGTAGCTGGGACTACAGGTGTCTGCCACCACGCTTGGCTAGTTTTTGTATTTTTAGTAGAGATGGGGTTTCACCATGTTGGCCAGGCTGGTCTCGAACTCCTAACCTCAGGTGATCCACCTGCCTCAGCCTCCGAAAGTCCTGGGATTACAGGTGTGAGCCACCACACCCGGCCAGAAGGCCCATATTTAAAGGACCCTGTGCCAGTGTTACTTTATACCCCAGATGATTCCTACGCCCTGGCCCCACATTTTGGCCAGCCTAGGTAGCAGGCTATGGGAACTGGATGTTTGAAGTTCTCTGAGTTGACAGGGAGATGCTGGGCATTGGAATCTAGAACAAGACATTAACTGACACTGACTATATTACAACCCAGTGAAACAAGTTCTCCTTTCAAATTCAATCATGGTGGACACATCTTTTCCTTGAAAGTCAACATTTCAGAACTGATTGCAAATGGAGGCTAGTCCAATTCCTCTACTTCCTCACTGGTAAAGATTCTCACCCATCTCTATATACTTCTTATGTTGGCTTTCTAAGAGAGTAGATAAACTGGGGACTCTGTAATGAAGTCATAAAAGCAACCAAAATTATTTTGGAGTATTTTTCAGGTGACTTGAAATATATTAGTTAAATTCTTGTTCCTGTTTTAAAACTATAGGGTGATGGCCAGGTGCAGTGGCTCACGCCTGAAATCCCAACACTTTGGGAGGCCAAGGCAGGAGGATCACTTGAGGTCAGGAGTTCAAGACCAGCTTGGCCAACATGGTGAAACCCCATCTCTACTAAGAATACAAAAAAATTAGCTGGGCGTGGTGGTGCACATCCACAATCCCAGCTACTGGAGAGGCTGAGACAGGAGAATCATTTGAACCTGGAAGGTAGAGTTTGCAGTGAGCCAAGATTGTGCCACTGTACTCCATCCAGCCTGGGGGACAGAGCGAGACTCTGTCTTAAACAAACAAAAAACTATTGGGTGAACACAATTGCAAATTCACTACCATATTCTTGATGTTCGTATGCCAGGCGTCAGATGGCACAAATGCCATGAACCTCATTATCTCCTCCCCTAAAGCCCTCTAGTGGCCCCCCATTGGTGGTTAATAGATGCTCAAAGAGAAAGAGGGACTAGAGAAGCTAAGGCTCTGACCCAGGAAAGCAGCTCCTTTAGGAATATGAACAAATGTCATTCTCTCCCTTCTAGCTCATCCACTGGGTCTGTCGGCCTCCCCACGCCTGGCAGCCCGTGAGGGCCAGCGATTCTCCCTCTCTCTCCACAGTGAGAGCAAGGTGCTAATCCTCTTCTGTAACTTGGTGGGGTCAGGGCAGCAGGCTAGCAGGTATGTTTCACTTTATTCTTTTTTCATGTGGTGTCTGGGATTTGTAGACCTGTACTTGGGAGCCTGTCTAGAGTAAAATTAAACATTTATTCCCAAGGTTAATAAACTAGGAGCCAGAAGTAGGGTCCTTTCTGATTAAGAGGATTAGAAATATCTGCCTTAAGCATTTGGCTAACGTCATCATTCCTAACCATCAGACATCAGAGGCCTTCCTATTAATCGGAGGAACAATTTTTACTGCCTTCACCACTGTTATTTTATATTGTAAAACCTAGGCGGTGCAGTGCTAAAAGAAACTGGCTATAAGAAAAGAGGTGATAATTTGGTTGTCTGTCCAGAAAACCAAGAACTGGAAAGTGATTGGCAGTAAGGAAAGGGTTCAGGAAATTGATGGGTTATATAACAAATATACAAAAACAGATAGCTTTCTTATATAGCCCAAATAAAGTGTTTAAAAGACAGAATTACATTAAGATATATTTAGATGGATAAAATGTTTCTAAAAATGTATCTTGAATAATAAACTGGTAAAAACAAAAAGATTATTTAATAATAATTAAACTATTATTAATTAGCTCAGCTTTTAAAAATCAATTAGCCCAGCCTTACTTATTGAATAATTCATTAACTCTTAGTAATATGAAATACATCATTTTTATCATGTAATAAATACTTACAGATAGTTGGTCTATTTTGTTTGATTTAATTGCATATTCTTCTGCCTGTATTACAATATTTTAATAATTTCAGAATTATGGTATATTTCATATTACTACAGAGTGAGTGAATTGTTCAAAAGTAAGGCTGGGCTAATTGATTTCTTTGTTGCTTTTTATTTTAAATAGTCAACTTTTTACTCCTGCTATGAATTCACACGTATAAATTTCAGGTTGACTAGAGAGGTAACTAGAGAAAAGGAAGCCATGAAATAACTTAAAGATGGCCGAGGTGGGTGGATCATGAGGTCAGGAGTTCGAGACCATCCTGGCTAACACGGTGAAACCCCATCTCTACTAAAAGTACAAAAAACTATCCAGGTGTGGTGGCACGCACCTGTAGTTCCAGCTACTTGGGAGGCTATGGCAGGAGAATCGCTTGAACCCAGGAGGCAAATGTTGCAGTCGGCCGAGATTGCACCACTGCACTCCAGCCTGGGCGACAGATCGAGACTGTCTCAAAAAAAAATTAATAAATAAAAAATAAAAAATAAATTAATAAAGACAACATGGGAGAATATTTATGTCCTTGGGTGGGGGCTAGTTTAACATCAAAGTCAGGAGGCTGTAAAGGAAAAGGCTGATGTTTTAAATATATTTAAAAATTTAAACTAAAAGCAAATTTGAAAGGCAAAGGACAAATGAGGAAAGATATTTATGCCATGTGAGAGGTGAAGGATTTATGTCCATCCTCGAATTTTCCAGCTCTTGAAAATTAAGGAGATAAATACCCTTGGTGAAATGAACCACAGAGATGAACATTAGTTCACAGAAGAAATACAAGCATAGGTTAAAATATTCAGCATCAGCTTGGCACGGTGGCTCACGCCTGTAATCCCAGCACTTTGAGAGGCTGAGGCGGGCGGATCACCTGAGGTCAGGAGTTTGAGACCAGCCTGACCAATATGGAGAAACCCCATCCCTACTAAAAATACAAAAGTAGCCGGGCATGGTGGCTCACGCCTGTAATCCCAACTACTCGGGAGGCTGAGGCAGGAGAATTGCTTGAACCCGGGAGGCGGAGGTTGCGGTGAGCCGAGATTGTGCCACTGCACTCCAGCCTGGGCAACAAGAGTGAAACTCCATCTCAAAAAAAAAAAAAAAAAAAAAAATCAGCATCATTTGTAGTGGGAGAAATTCTGGTTGCAATAGCAAGATACTATTCTTAACCTCTTAGATTGTTAAATGATTTTTAGAAATTGATAATACTCATTCTGGGCCAGAGTCCGGGGAATCAGGTAAATTGGTATGGCTTCTTTGGAGGACAGTTTGGGAAGAAAGAGCTTTAGTCTTGTCTTTCTACTTCTGGAACTTTACCCTAAGGGAATAATTGTGCGCTCAAAGGTTATGTCCAAGGTTATATCTAGTTCCTGCGATAAGCAAGCATTGTTTAAATAAAAACTTGGAATGCCTCACAGTACAGGATGGATTAAGTAAACCGATCTGTCCATACAACAATGGACGCACAGTGCCCTTGCCTGTCCAGACAGATCACCTCATATTTGTGTTCTGCTTTAGCCAATTTTATTCAACAATTTCACATTCTTACCTCATTGGGTCTTCACACAGGCTGCAGCGAGGCCAGGAAGCAGTGAGTCGCTAGTGATTTGTCCAGGAGTACCCACGGCAGAGTTAGGGCCCATAGGCGCAGGCTCACCCAGCATTCTGTACACCATGAGCTCACTGCTGTGCGCTTACTATGTTGGGACATGGATACCATCCCAGTGATGAGAATATTCTCGATACCCCAACCAAAGTTGTGTCATCTGGATTTATGTCTCTGCCTTGCCTTCCCCTGGCTCCAAGCTTGTCTTACTCTATTCCCTGCTGTGAGTAAGAGATTTTGCCAGCTAGCTGGTCATTTTGAGTAATCTGTTTACACAGCAGCATCTACCTGGCTTTGTGTCACTGGGCCTCTGCTTACATTGCAGTGTCTCCATTTGTTACAAGGTTCTCTGATTGGCAATTTTGTATTGTGTTTGGCTTTAAAAAGCATTTACATTATTTTTAATCGACACATAATTGTACATATTTATGGGGTACGGAGTGATATTTTGATACATGTACATAGTGTGTAATGATCAAATCAGGGTAATTGGCATAACCGTCACCTCAAACATTTATCATTTCTTTGTGTTGGGAAGATTCAAAATCCTATCCTCTAGCTATTGAAAGCATACAATAAATTATTGTTAACAATAGTCACTCTATATTGCTATAGAACACTAGAGCTTATTTCTCCTATCTAGCTATAATTTTTATTCATTACCTAACCTTTTCCTAGCCCCCACTGGCGCCTCCCAGCCTCTAGTAGAACCACTATTCTACTCTACTTCTGTGACATTAACTTTTTTAGATTCCACATGAGGGAGTACATGCAGTATTTATCTTTCTGTGCCTGACTTATTTCACTTAACATAATGTCCTCCAGCCTCATCCATCTTGCCGCAAACAACAGGATTTCATTTCTTTTTTATGGGTGCATAGTATTCCGTTGTGTATATAGACCACATTTTCTTTTTCATTTCTTTTCCATTCATCCACCGATGTACACTTAGGTTGATTTGGAATCTTGGCTATTGTGAATAGCCCTGCAGTAAACACAGGAGTGCAGAGATCTCTTTGACATGATGATCTTTCCTTTGGATAAATACCCAGTAGTGGGATGGCTGGGTCACATGGTGGTTCTATTTTTAGTTTTTTGAAGAACCTCCATGCTTTTCTCCACGGTGTCTCCATTCCCACCAACAGTGTATAAGAGTTCCCTTTTCTCCATATCCTCACCAGCATTTGTTATTTCTTGTCTTTTTGATAATAGCCATCCTAACTGGGGTAAGATGATATCTCATTGGGGTTTTGACTTGCATTTCCCTGATAATTAGTGATGTTGGGCATTTTTTCATATGCCTGTTGGCTACGTGTGTCATTTTGAGAAATGTCTATTCAGACCCTTTGCCCATTTTTAAATGGGATTCTTTGGTTTTTTTTGCTGTTGAGTTTTTGTGCTTAGCTCTTGTCACTTATCCTATTGACAGGAAGCCAGGGTTAGAACAACCACTCATGACTGGTGGATGTTGCTGGTTTTTCCTTTGCTGGGATAACCCGATTTCCTTGGATTTTCAGGTTTGGGCCACCCTTCCTGATAAGGGAAGACAGAGCTGTTTCCTGGGCCCAGCTCCAGCAGTCTATCCTCAGCAAGGTCCGCCATCTTATGAAGAGTGAGGCCCCTGTACAGGTCAGTGGTGTGCATGCGTGTGTGTGTGTGTGCGTGCATGCGCATGTGCATGCGTGTGTGTGGGTGTGTGTATTGGGAGGGGTGGAATTTAGTGTAGCCCAGGAGAGGATAATTTGCTGTTAAAGAGTGTTCATACTGTTTTATAAAATGACTTAGATTTATTTGCAAGGAAGTAACCATCTTATAGTCTGTAGTGTTTTACTTTTGTGCCATTACAAAATACCTTTCATGGGCAGAGCTTTTTCTTATTAAATCTTTCAAAACACCATTGGGAAAATGGCATTTACATTAAAACGAAATTTTTTTTTTCACATTTTCCATCATTCCCTAAGCATTTACATTATTATTCCCAATTTTGTATGTTTATGGCTTACCATAGTTTTTCCTAGAAGATAGCATATTATAATAAATTGTAACTTTTATGTTTAAATCAACAATTTCAAGGGACTTGAGATAGAATTTCTGGGAAAATTAAAATGGATGATTATGTCCAAATATGAAAATCTAAATGTTAAAATAAGTTTGTCCAGTTTTTTAAAAACTAAGATAACTCAAAGGAAAACATTTGCCTTATTTATTTATTCTCAGATTGGTAGTTTCCAAACAAAAACAGCATGTTTAAAAACTATTGATTTTTTGTTTTTAGCTCCTATAATATCAGAAACTATTCTGATGGTTGCTTGACACAGAAGATGTTGAAATTTTTAGGGACAGGTCAGTTGTGTCAGATTCCTATTGTCCCCTAACTATTCCCATAGTAAAAGCTTTTTATTTGGGGCACACACAGATCTTATCTCAGAGATAATTCCTCATAATTCATGTTCCTTCCTGCTCAGCAAAAACCATATGTTTGATTTAGGATTTATACCAAATAACATTTTGTTAAAAACCTTCACTACATTTGTCCCAACTTTTATCTCTAAAGGATTTTGTTCAAT
Organism: Homo sapiens; assembly: GCF_000001405.40. Classification (NCBI taxonomy): domain Eukaryota; kingdom Metazoa; phylum Chordata; class Mammalia; order Primates; family Hominidae; genus Homo; species Homo sapiens. The sequence continues at coordinate 9,687,848 of NC_000017.11, forward strand.
GTACTGTAGATCAGATCCACCAAAGTGCCCAAATTAGAAACTCCTCTGCAAGTAGGTCAGTCTATCCGGTGAGAGTTTTGCCTTCTCCCAAACCTTGAGCTACTGATTATCGCAATGGATGAAACTATGCTTTTTTTGTTTGTTTGTTTGTTTTTTGAGACGGAGTCTCACTCTGTCGCCCAGGCTGGAGTGCAGTGGCGTGATCTCGGCTCACTGCAAGCTCCGCCTCCCGGGTTCACGCCATTCTTCTGCCTCAGCCTCCCAAGTAGCTGGGACTACAGGCGCCCGCCACCACGCCCAGCTAACTTTTTTGTATTTTTTAGTAGAGACGGGGTTTCACTGTGTTAGCCAGGATGGTCTCGATCTCTTGACCTCGTGATCCACTGGCCTCGGCCTCCCAGAGTGCTGGGATTACAGGTGTGAGCCACCGTGCCCGGCCAGATGAAACTAATTTCATGTGAGCATTTAACTCAGCCATCCTTACTCTTACCTGCTCACACTCCTGTCCTGTTTTTTTTTTTTGAGATGGAGTCTCGCTCTGTCACCAGGCTGGAGTGCAGTGGCGTGATCTCGGCTTACTGCAACCTCCGCCTCCCAGGTTCAAGCGATTCTCCTGCCTCAGCCTCCCAAGTAGCTAGGACTACAGGCAAGCGCCACCACACCCAGCTAATTTTTGTATATTTAGTAGACACGGGGTTTCACCATGTTGGCCAGGATGGTCTCAATCTCTTGGCCTCATGATCCTCCCACTTCAACCTCCCAAAGTGCTGGGATTACAGGCGTGAGCCACCACACCCAGCCACACCTGTACTTTTGCCTCCATACCTTTGCAGTCATTTTAGCTTTATTTTATTTTTGAGGCAGGGTCTCACTCTGACACCCAGGCTGGAGTGCCGTGGTGCGGTAATGGCTCACTGCATCTTTGACCTCCCAGGCTCAAGTGATCCTCCTGCCTCCGCCTCCTGAGTAGCTGGGACTGCAGGTGTATGGTACCGTACCCAGCTAACTTTTTTTTGTTTGTTTGTTAGAGACAGTTTCACCATTTTGCCTAGAGTGATCTTGAACTCCCGGGCTCAGTTGATCCATCTGCCTCAGCCTCCCAAAGTGTTGGGATTACAGGTGTGAGCCACTGTGCCCAGCCCAATTTCAATTTTAGAAATGGATCAAGCAATCAATGGGGCCAGCAAAATACTAATACGGGCAACCTTTGACTCAGCCACAGATGCTTTTTCACAGATTCACGGGTGAATGTATGGTCAGACATGCTTTTCTGTAGGAGTAATGTGTTCTAGATGGTTGTGAGGCTTCCAGGCTAGCCAACCCATTTAACCCATAATTCTTTTAATACTATATTAAATACTGGTTCAAATATAGTCATTTGAAGAGAATATATTCAGGAGTCTCAACATTGAACTGAAGAGATTAAACATATTGTATTGAAGGTTTGGACATGAACTTCCCTAGCCAAGAATTGAGAACAGGAAAGTTTCTTACAAAAATGACCAGTTTACTGGATAGGATTAATTTGCATGTATTATGAAAAAAATAAAAGCTATCAATGCCAATTTTTTTTTTTTTTAAAGAGATAGAGTCCCACTCTGTTGGCCAGGCTGGAGTGTGGTGGTGTGATCATAGCTCACTGCAGCCTTGAACTCCTGGGCTCAAGTGATCCTCCCACCTCATCCTTGCAAGTAGCTGGGACTACAAGCACCTGCCATCATGCCTGGTTAATTATTTTAATTTTTTTGCAGTGATAGGGTCTCACTGTGTTGCCCAGGTTGGTCTTGAACTCCTGGCCTCAAGAAGTCCTCCCACATTGGCCTCCCGAAGTGCTGGGATTACAGGCATGAGCCACCATGCCTGGCTACCCAAACACTTTTATGGTATTTTGTAAACGGGGGTGTGTGAGGCCAGCACTATTTGTGTGCAGGCAGAGTAGGCTGCCTCTGTGCAGATGTTGGTGCCGTAATGATGGCTGACTTTTGCTGTCCAAACAACAAGGCTCCATTAGGGGCGGAGGAAAAAGAGTCTTCTCCCCCAGATTTAAATTAACATTCTCCTTAGGGAGAATACCCTTCCGTGGCCAACCCTCAATCAAAGCCCCTGAAGTCATCTTACTTCCAGACGTTGATTTCGTCTTTGTTGAAGCCGTAGACGAACTGGAACGTGGTTAGAGTCTGGCTAGACGTATGAGCTCCCTGCCCTTCACACTCAAGACCCCCTGCAGCCCAGTTCCAGTTTACCCACCAGCCTTGTGGCCGATGCTCCCTGCACACGTCAGCTCCCACAGCCAAAGGGGTCGGCTCACAACTCTCTGCATCTGTTTCGGGTCATTCTGTCCTACCATGTGTCATTCCTCTTTCCTGGAATTATGATGCTTTTCTCTTGTTTTCCTCTCATAATTCAACCTAGGTTTCCTCCATGGTTTTTAAGAAAACATGTCTGCCTTTTACCTTTGTCAGAGTTTGGAAGAAAATTTTATTTTATTTCTGGTTGTCAAGATCATCAGTGACAAATTTAAGCACCTATTTCTTTTATTTGAATGAAGACCCCGTTGATTTTTTAAAAAATTTTGGTAAAAGATATATACATTTATTTATTTTAACCACTCATAAGTGTATATTAATTACATTTACAATGTTGTATCACCATCACTACTATGTATACTCCCGATTTTTTCATCATCAACAAAAACTTTATTAAACATTATACTGATTAAAACAAAAACCTTATACCTATTAAAAAACTAAAATGTTGCCAGACGTGGTGGCTCACGCCTGTACTCCCAGCACTTTGGGAGGCCGAGGCAGGTGGATCACCTGAGGTCAGGAGCTCAAGACCAACCTGGCCAACATGGTGAAACCCCATCTTTACTAAAAATACAAAAATTAGCCAGGTGTGGTGGCAGGTGCCTGTAATCCCAGCTACTCGGGAGGCTGAGGCAAGGGAATCACTTGAACTGGAGAGGAGGAGTTTGTAGTGAGCCGAGATCGCACCACTGCATTCCAGCCTGGGTGACAGAGCAAGACTGTCTCAAACAAACAAACAAACTATACCTATTAAACAACAATTCCACGTTTTCTCCTCTGCCTAGCTCCTTGTAGCTACCATTCTACTTTCTATCTGTATGAATTTTCCTGTTTTAGGTACCTTATATAACTAGAATAATATAATATTTATCTTTTTACATCTGGCTTATTTCACTAAATGTCATGTTTTCAAGGGTCATCTGTGTTGTAGCATATCTCAGAATTTCCTTCATTTTTTTTTTTTTCTTTTTTTTTGAGATGGAGCTTCACTCTTGTTGCTCAGGCTGGAGTGCAATGGCGTGATCTCAGCTCACTGCAACCTCCACCTCCCAGATTCAACTGATTCTCCTGCCTCAGCCTCCTGAGTAGCTGGGATTACAGGCACCCGCCACCACACCTGGCTATTTTTTTTTGTATTTTTAGTAGAGATGTAGCTTCTCCATGTTGGTCAGGCTGATCTCGAACTCCTGACCTCAGGTGATCCATCTGCCTCAGCCTCCCAGAGTGCTGGGATTACAGGCGTGAGCCACCGCGCTGGGCTGCCTTCATTTTTAAGGCTAAATAATATTCTGTTGTGTATATATCCCACATTTTGTTTATCCATTGTTGGTGGACACTCAGGTTGTTTCTTTCTTTTGACTTGTGAATCATGCTGCCGTGAACATTGGTGTATAAATATCTGTTCAAGCCCCTCCTTGCGACTCTTAGATATACACCTAAGAGAATTAAAGGTTATATGGTAGTTCAACATTTAACCTTTTGAGAAACTGCTGAACTGTTTTCTACAGCAGCTGTACCATCCATTTTATGTTCCCACCAGCAATGCATAAGGGTTCCAGTTTCTCCAAATTCTTGCCAATGCTTGTTATTTTCCATTAAAAAAAAAATTAGGCCAGGTGCGGTGGCTCATGCCTGTAATCCCAGCACTTTGGGAGGCCAAGGCGGATGAGGTCAGGAGATCGAGACCATCCTGGCTAACATGGTGAAACCCCGTCTTTACTAAAAATACAAAAAAAATTAGCCGGGTGTGGTGGCGGGCGCCCGTAGTCCCAGCTACTCAGGAGGCCGAGGCAGAGAATGGCAAGAACCCGGGAGGCAGAGCTTGCAGTGAGCTGAGATCACACAACTGCACTCCAGCCTGGGCGACAGAGCGAGACTCCATCTCGAAAAAAAAAGAAAATTAAAACAAATTTAATTGTAGGCTGGACGTGGTGGCTCATGCCTGTAATCCCAGCATTTTGGGAGGCCGAGGTGGGCGGATCGCGTGAGGTCAGGAGTTCAAGAGCAGCCTGGCCAACATGGTGAAACCCCATCTCTACTAAAAATACAAAAATTAGCCAGGTGTGGTGGCAGGCACCTGTAATTCCAGCTACTCAGGAGGCTGAGGCAGGAGAATCACCTGAACTCAGGAGGCAGAGGTTGTAGTGAGCTGAGATTGTGGCACTGCACTCCAGCCTGGGCGACAGAGTGAGACTTTGTCGTCTCAAAAAAAAATTTAATTATAGCCATCCCAGTGGGTGTGAAGTGGTACCTCAGCGTTGTCTTGATTTGCATTTCTCTAATGACTAATGATGTTGCTGATCTTTTCATGGGCTTCTTGGCCATCTGTACATCTTTGGAGAAATATCTGCACAAATGTTTGCCCATTTTTTAATTGAGTTGTTCATTCCATTGAATTTTTAAGAGGCATCTTCCGTTAAATATGTCATTGTAAGCCTCATTTCAATTTCAGAAAAGTTAAAATATAATAAACACATATCTTAGAATAATAACTAAGGTGCTATCTCTTTATGTGGCTTATTTTAAAATGTATAAATATTTACTTTGTCTGTAAAATATACATGAACTGGCTTTTAGAAAATTGCCTCATTGTGGGGATGATAATCATCTTAATAAAGTAGGTTAAGTTACCTATTAAAAATTAATTAACATGATTGATTTATGTTCCATTACATGTACCAGTATCTGCTCCAGTTAAGCATTTACTATTTAAACACACTGTGTTCATTTTTGGGGGGAAGATGTAACATATTAAACACAGTATTAGATCACTGCATTACAGGGTATAGTGTGAATCTGAAAAAAATGAAGTTTTTGTCTCTTAATTTTGAATTCTAATTATTACGGGAATATTCAAAATACACTATGGAAAATAATGATTATATTTTTTAATGTATGCGCCCCTTTAGAGTCTAATTTAAATCAATATAGGGGCTACGTAATGATCCATGTCTGTTTTTGTCTTCGCAGAACCTGGGGTCTCTGTTCTCCATCCGTGTTGTGGGACTCTCTGTGGCCTGCAGCTATTTGTCTCCGAAGGACAGTCGGCCCCTCTGTCACTGGGCAGTTGACAGGTAAGGGGGAAGGTCCAGGTTCAGTCAGCTAATGAACCCTTTCTTATTTTACCAGAGTCCTTTGAGGGTATATGTCAATGAGATTGCTCATAGTATTTGTTATTCTTGATCACTTACCTCTCCAGTACCAGCCGCTATGTTAGGTCATTGGGCATGTTCTGTGCTTTGAACCCGTATGTCTGGAGAGGCACTATTATGTCCGCTTCAAAGATGGGGGGGACACCAACGTTCTCAGAGGTTAGTTAACTTGATCACACTTAAAAAGCTAGTTAATAGGCAAGCCTAAATTTGAACCCAGATTGATCTAACTAAAACCCAAATTCAGCCAGGCATGGTGGTTCACGCCTGTAATCCCAGCACTTTTGGAGGCTGAGGTGGGTGGATTGCCTGGGGTCAGGATTTTGAGACCAGTCTGGCCAACATGGTGAAACCCCATCTCTACTAAAAATACAAAAAAATTAGCCGGTCGTGGTAGCACGCGCCTATAATCCTAGCTACTCAGGAGGCTGAGGCAGGGGAATTGCTTGAACCAGGGAGATGGAGGTTGCCGTGAGCCGAGATCGCGCCACTGCACTCTAGCCTGGGTGACAGAGCAAGACTCCATCTCAAAAAACAAAAACAAAAACAAACCAAAACACGAAATTCTTTCAATTAGGTCATGCTCCTGAATTCAACAGGAATATCTCCCTAGGGTATGTGAAGATTCTACAGCTGATTCATTGGTCCTAAACTGTAAGAGATTGTGGAGTGTGCCTGAGGCTTAAAGCCAGTGTGGCTGTGTCTCTGGTAGCTACCTTGATAGCCTTCTGGTGCGTGTGCCCTTGCAAAGCAATCCCCAGGTCATTGCAACATCTATGGGGCAGTTCTACTCTATAAACGAACTGTCTGGCACTTCTCTTTATTTTCCCATAGACCCCCAGGTTCTCAGTAAGGTCCTCTGATTTCCTGACTTGGTCAGCCAAATTCAACCTGACTGAGATGGGCCTTTCCCCTTGTAAAGAGACCAGGAACCAGGGTAGCAGGTGAGCCAGAAGGTTCTGTGACCTACACCCCATCCATATCCTCCTTGGCTGGCAGATGCTTTTGCTTTACAGAGTTAGGAAGGCAGGAGAAGGGTCATCAAGGGCCTGTTTGGGTCTCCCAGGGAGAGGAAGCCCCTTCCCACACTCAGTCTTGGAGATAACCCAAAGTGGTTCTGTAGACTGCCAGCCTGTGAGCTAATTGTCACCAGCCCGTGACAAGAACTTGAGAGGAAGCACTTACGAATGTTAAAGCAATATGACAGAGCAATCTATAATATGATGGATATGATAATTTCTTTTAAAAATGGAACTTTTATTTTATATGTCTTTCCTCACCCCCCATTACTTTTTTATTATTTATTATTTATTTATTTATTTATTCATTTTTGAGATGGAGTCTCGCTTTGTCTTCCAGGCTCAAGTGCAGTGGCGCCATCTCGGCTCCCTGCACCCTCCGCCTTTCTGGGTTCGAGCGATTTTCCTGCCTCAGCCTCCCCAGTAGCTGGGATTATAGGCACACGCCATCACGCCTGGCTAATTTTTGTATTTTTAGTATAGACAGGGTTTCATCATGTTGGTCAGGCTGGTCTCGAACTCCTGACCTCAAGTGATCCACCTGCCTCTGCCTCCCAAAGTGGTGGGATTACAGGTGTGAGCCACCGCACCCGGCCTATTATTTCTTTTTATAAAAGTGTTGGTCTGCAGTGGTTTGGAAACAAACCATCAAACTGGTCTTTTACCATAGGTAGTTTGAGAAGCGCTAGAATTGAGTAGAGTTCTACAGTAAGCTGACCATCCTAAAGGATATTCTCTTGAGGTCACACCCCTCCTGGCCCGCACCTTCCATTCACTGGACATCTTACCTCAGTCTGGCCCCTGTTCACCCCACTCCCATCCCCACCCCACCCCACAATCCCAGTCCCAGCCCTGCTGGTACAGCTCTCTCTGGCATCTAATGTGACCTTACCTCTTTCACAGGGCTCTCTATTTAGCCCTTGCCCTGCCTCTTCCATGCCTATCCCAACATCTCCTTGTTCTATAGGAAATTCTTTTTTTTCTTTTTGGTAAAATACATAGAACATAAAATTACTTTTTTTTTGAGATGGAGTCTCACTCTGTTACCTAGGCTGGAGTGCAATGGTGTAATCTTGGCTCACTGCAACCTCCGCCTCCTGGGTTCAAGCAATTCTCCTGCCTCAGCCTTCCAAGTATATGGTACTACAGGTGCGTGCCACCAGGCCCAGCTAATTTTTTGTATTTTTAGTAGAGACAGGGTTTCACCATGGTAGCCAGGATGGGCTTGATCTCCTGAGCTCGTGATCCACCCACCTCAGCCTCCCAAAGTGCTGGGATTACAGGCATGAGCCACCACTTAGGGCCAAAATTACATTTTAACCACTTGAAAGTGTACAGTTCAGTGGGATTGTTACATTTACCTTGTTATACATCCATTGCCACCATCCATCTCCAAAAATCTTTCATCTTGCAAAATGGAAACTCTGTACCCATCACACAATATCCCTCCCCTTCCTCTTCCTCAGTCTCTGGAAACCACCACTCCACTGTCTGTCACTGTGAATTTGACAACTGTAGATGCCTCAGGTAACAGGAATCATAGTGTTTATCCTTTTGTGTTTGGCTTAATTCACTAACCACCATGTTTTGAAGGTTCACCCATGTTGTAGCACGCATTAGAATTTCCTTCCTTTTGAAGGCTGAATAATATTCCATTGTATGTATACACCACCTAGAAATATATCTCCTAGAATTTTTTTTGTCTGCTTGAAATCTTCCTCTCCCTCTCTGGGATGCTCAAATATTATTGGGTCTCAGCATTCTACCCCTGGCCCTCTGGGTTCCATTTATGGGTGTTTTTTATGTTTTGTTTTGTTTGTTTTTTAGACAGAGTCTCACTCTGTCGCCCAGGCTGGAGTGCAGTGGCACAATCTCGGCTCACTGCAACCCCCGCCTCCTGGATTCAAGAAATTCTCCTGCCTCAGCCTCCCGAGCAGCTGGGACTACAGGTGCACACTGCCACCCCTGGCTAATTTCTTGTATTTTAGTATAAACGGGGTTTCACCGTGTTGCCCAGGCTGGTTGTGAACTCCTGAGCTCAGGCAATCCGCCTGCCTCTGCCTCCCAAAGTGCTGGGATTACAGTCGTGAGCCACCATGCCTGGCCCCATCCCTGGGTGATCCTACTCTTGGTTCTGTCTACTGCCTTTAGGCCAAAGTCTCCTAGATCCATATCTCCTGCCCAGATTTTTCTCTGGATTGCAGACCTGCCTGTCCTACTTAAATGCCTCATAGACACTGGTAACTAAACACTTGCCAGTCTGAACTCTTCTTGCTTAAAGCTTTCCATTTCCCATCTTTGTGTTTAAATGGTGACACCACCATCTACTCAGGACCTCAAGCTAGGAACCTGGCATCATCCCTGACCCCTTCTAATCTACGTGTTATAAACCACTCGGTGGCCTCCCAGTGCCCACGGGATAAAGTCCACACTTGTGAAGGTGGCCTACAAGGCCCTGCCTCTCCCATGTGGCCCGTCCCTCACTGTGCTGGGACTTTCCATTAGAGGGCACACATCCTGCCCTCTACTGGTGAGCCCTCCACCTGTGTGTCCCTTTCCCCTCTGGTTCCCCTGGCTGACTTTTTTAAGAAATTCATTAAATTTTTGGGCCAGGCACGGTGGCTCACGCCTATAATCCCAGCACTTGGGGAGGCCAAGGCGGGTGGATCACTTGAGGCCAGAAGTTCAGGCCCAGCCTGGCCAACATGGTGAAACCGCATTTCTACTGAAAATACAAAAATTAGCCAGGCATGGTGGCACACACCTGTAATCCCAGCTACTTGGGAGGCTGAGGCAGGAGAATCGCTTGAACCCAGGATGCGGAGCTTGCAGTGAGCCGAGATTGTTCCACTGCACTCCAGCCTGGGCAACAGAGCGAGACTCTGTCTCAAAAATAAATAAATAAATAAATAAAATAAAAAAGATAAAAATTTCTTAAAGTTTTGTTTATTATTCATTTATTTTTATTTCTATAACTTTCTTGGGTGAATGTTGTCTTCTCACTTATATAATTTTTTTTTTTAAGATTCATGGGTACGAGTGCAGGTTTTTACATGGATATATCATGTAACACTGGAGTTTGCATTTCTATATAACCCATCACTCAAATAGTGAGCATAGTACTCAATAAGTAGCTTTTCAACCCTCTCTCCCTTCTTCCCTCCCCCATTTTGCAGTGCTCAATATCTATTGTTCCCATCTTTATGTCCATGTGTACCCACGGTTTAGCTCTCACTTATAAATGAGGACATGTGGTATTTGATTTTCTGTTTCTGCATTCATTCACTTAGGATAATGGCCTCCATTTTCATCCATGTTGCTGCAAAGAAACAGGAATTCTTTTTTTTTTTTTTTGGCTGTGTAGTGTTCTGTGGTGTACATGTACCACATTTTCTTTATCCAATCCACCATTGATGGATACCCGGGTTGACTCCATGGCCTTACTATTATGACTAGTGATGTGACAAACGTGTGAGTGCAGGTGTCTTTTTGATACAATGATTTATTTTCCTTTGGGTTGATACCCAGGAGCAGAATTGCTGAGTTGAATGGTAGTTCTATTTTTAGTTCTTTGAGAAATCATCATACTTTTTTCCATAGGAGTTGAACTAATTTACATTCCAACCAACAGTGTCTAAGCATTCTCTTTTCTCTTCATCCTTGCCAATATCTGTTATTTTCTGACCTTCTAATAATAGCCATCTGCTGATGTGAGATGGTATTTCACTGTGGCTTTAATTTGCATTTCCTTGATGATTAGTGCTGTTGAGCAGCTTTTAATATGTTTGTTGGCCACTTATATGTCTTCTTTGGAGAGATGTCTTTCATGTCCTTTGCCCACTTTTTAATAGGATTATTTGTTTTTGTTGACTTAAGTTCCTTATATATTCTGGATATTAGTCCTTTGTCAGATGCATAGTTTGCAAAAATTTTCTCCCATCCTGTAGGCTGCCTCTTTATTCTGTTGATAGCTTCTTTTGCTGTGCAGACCTCTTTAGTTTAATTAAGTCCCATTTTTCAATGTTTGTTTATGTTGCATTTGCTTTCGAGGTCTCAGTCATTCCTCTGGCCAAGTCCTGCCCCATCTGTCCTCCAGAGCATCCTGGGGTGTGTGTCCCCAGACACCTGAGTGCATCAGAATGATCTCTTTGTATGCTCCTCCCATTAGCCTATCAGTCCCTTAAGGGTGGGGATTGTTAGGTATATACATTTCTTGGAGTAGCATCGCTCCATACACATTGAATAAGGCCCTCTTTCTTTTTGTATCAGAGCTGTGGTCTGGGCAGATAATCTCACCCTCTAGTGACAATCTGATTTCCATGTAAAGAAGGAAGTTGGGTGACAGCCACACCTCTTTCTTTCTGGGACCTAAGGAGTTTTGTACAATAAACTTGGAGCATGAAGGTACCAGTTTTCATTTTCCACTCCCATGTTTAAATTCCAGTTGAAAAGTAGACTGTGGATTGAGGCAGAAAGAGATGTAAATTTTAGGTTTATTCATAAGACTGATTAAGGATGCAGCTTAGATGTGAGTCCAATTTGGGCTTTCAAATGTGTTTCCCCAGAATTAAATTACGTACCCGCAGACCTCTGCCAAGGCAGATCTCCCCAATGGCAGGTCTCCCTCATTGTGGAAATGGAGAATTTGGGGGACCTAAAGAAAGAAGCTTAGATCTAGGGGTCCTCAGTCTGTCTCCTCAGAATGGAATATTTGTCACATACTTCCAGTCTTCCACCTGCAAGGCAGAGCTGCTTCCAGGAAACGCAAGGCATGGGTGGGGGAGAATGGCAGGTGGCTAGCTTGTAGGACATAGGTAGGCCTAATGACAGGACGTAGAGCCCACCTTCTTCTACAATCCCACCAATCAGATAAGGTGCTTCTCCTCCTTTGGAAGGAGTGAGGATGAGGAGGCAGCATGGTTCTCCCCGTCTACAGGAAATTGAGGGAGCAATCAGTGTTTTTCCCAATGCATCAGGGCTCCCTGGGCTGGGAGAACTTCTCCCAGACACGCCTTGTTCCTCACTCCCTCCTGGCTCACGCAGGAAGGTGCCACAACTCCAGCTCAGACCTGTCCATGCTCAGCCACAGGACTTTGTGCCTTCCATGAGCTCAAAACCTTTTATCAGATCATCTTAGTGGTAGTTTGGGACTCATCTGACATCCCCCCTTTTCTTGCAACACATTTGAAACACTCCTTTGGGTGTGGACGTTGCCATCACTTGTATCTGTTCCTATTGATTTCAGGATAAAACCTCATGTGCTCCACTTTGCTCTCTTCCCATCTCTTCTGTATTGAGGCTGATCCACCGTTTCTGAAATGGGCTGGGCCCAAGTAGTTGGAAAGAGCTACAGGTTGACAGGCACTGGGATTTTCTATGCACTGGAGGGTGTGGAAGGAGAAGACTTCTTAGGTTGTGGAGGGGGGCTTAAAGGTGCTCCTTCTGCATTGCAGTTGGGGGAAAGGTAGCAGCTCTCTTTGGGCATCATCAGTATTGGGTATTTGTGTAGGATGGTCAAGTGGAAGTGCCCTATAGACATTGAGAAGGTAGCTGGGGCTGCAGTGGAACAGCTGATCTATTTCCTCAAAGTAACCCCAAATCTACAGAGCTCACAAGCTCCCATGGGAATGAGGGGAGGCACTGTGAGGTTGGTCTGAAGTTCTGAGACGGAGCCTTCAGCAGACTTAGCAGCCTCCGAGGATAGCTGACCTTGGCTTACTGGCAGTTTTGGGTATTTCTGTTTGGAACATCAGTCCTTGGGTTGTGGGGGAGACTGCTGAGCCCTGAAGAGCTGTGGGAAGGAGGCCCCGTGTTTTCTGATGGGCTCCCTTGTTCTCTTCTCAGGGTTTTGCATCTCAGGAGGCCAGGAGGCCCTCCACATGTCAAGCTGGCGGTGGAGTGGGATAGCTCTGTCAAGGAGCGGTGAGTTCAAGGGAATTTGCCACCTGCAGAGCTGAGACAGGGCCTGTGTGTGCCCAGGTTTCCCTGGACGCAGCTTCCCCCAGCACGGCTGCAGGCAGGGTGCACACATCTTTGAGCCAGTGTAACCCGTTCCTGTGAGATGCCTGAGTGAGAATTTTCTGTATGTAAATAACAGTGACAGGAATGGAGGAATGGAGTGATGGTGGTGGTGGTGGGTGATGTCAGAAGTAGTAACTGCAGTCATAGTAGACAGTTACGTAGCACCCACCCACTCACCCCATGCCAGTCACTGCTCTGCACACTTCATGTGTGTATAGGGGATTTATTTAATCTTAATCACACCCTATGTGTGGGTGGTCTGGGGTGGATACTCCTGTAATCCACATTTCTCAGAGGTGGAAACTGAGGCACAGAGAGGGTAAGCAGTTGCTGGAGGGCACACAGCTTGTACATTGGCAGAGCTGGGATTTGAACCCAGACCCTCTGACTGGAGTCCATGCTCCTCATCACCATACTTGGCTACCTCTGTAACACTGAGGGCATCAGCCTTACTTTAAGAAAGGATGTCGTTCAGTCCAGCAAGTATTTATTGATCAACTTCTAGGTGCCAGGCCCTGTGCTAGGATGAGGAAAACAAAGATGAATAAGCCAAGGACCTGCCCTGTAGGAGCTGGTGGGGGAGAGAGAATTCCAGTAAAATATAGTGCTGAGTCAGAAGGATGCCTGCAGCTCTCCAGGAACCCATAGGCAGGGCACGGTAGTGTGGCCTGGCCAATGTCTGCTGACGGGTTTGCTGTGAGTAGAGACATAGACGAAACCTGTCTGGGAGCAGGAAAGTCCTGAACGCCGTGGGTGTCCTCTCCGTGCAGCCTGTTCGGGAGCCTCCAGGAGGAGCGAGCGCAGGATGCCGACAGTGTGTGGCAGCAGCAGCAGGCGCATCAGCAGCACAGCTGTACCTTGGATGAATGTTTTCAGTTCTACACCAAGGAGGAGCAGGTCCCGCCCTGGGGGTCCATGCCCCGGCCGGGAAGGGGGCTGGCTGCCTTTGGTGGGTTGGCCACGTGCTGCGGGGGCCTCACAGTCCGGGTGGTTTGCTTTCCAGCTGGCCCAGGATGACGCCTGGAAGTGTCCTCACTGCCAAGTCCTGCAGCAGGGGATGGTGAAGCTGAGTTTGTGGACGCTGCCTGACATCCTCATCATCCACCTCAAAAGGTTCTGCCAGGTGGGCGAGAGAAGAAACAAGCTCTCCACGCTGGTGAAGTTTCCGCTCTCTGGACTCAACATGGCTCCCCATGTGGCCCAGAGAAGCACCAGCCCTGAGGCAGGACTGGGCCCCTGGCCTTCCTGGAAGCAGCCGGACTGCCTGCCCACCAGTTACCCGCTGGACTTCCTGTACGACCTGTATGCCGTCTGCAACCACCATGGCAACCTGCAAGGTGGGCATTACACAGGTGAGCCTTGCCTTGCCTTTCTGCAAATGCAGCTGTGGCCACAGCCTCGAGATGTCCCTGGAATGGGTGTTGCTCAGATGCTGAGCTCCCTGGGGCACTTATTGAGATCCGACCCCTCACCCACCGCACACCAGGAAGATGAGGATGAGGAAAACAAAGATGAATAAGCCAAGGACCTGCCCTGTAGGAGCTGGTGGGGGAGAGAGAATTCCAGTAAAATATAGTGCTGAGTCAGAAGGATGCCTGCAGCTCTCCAGGAACCCATAGGCAGGGCACGGTAGTGTGGCTGTCTCGCACCATGTGCGAGAGCAGAAGGGACCTTGTCCCAGCTATAGAGTTGACATTGAGTTAGGTTGGAGGTTGGAATATGTAAAGTTAGGCCTGATGCAGTAGCTCATGCCTGTAATCCCAGCACTTTGGGAGGCTGAGGTGGAAGAATCACTTGAGGCCAGGGGTTCAAGACCAGCCTAGGCAACAAAGTGAGACCCCCGTCTCTACAAAAAAAATGAAAAAAAAAAATGAGCTAGGCATTGTGGCTTACACTTGTAGTCCTAGTTGCTCAGGAGGCTGAGATAGGAGGCTGAGGCCGTGGTGAACCATGATTGCACCACTGTACTCCAGCCTGGGCAACAGAGCGAGACCGTGTCTCCAAAACAAATAAACCAACAAACAGAGGTTAGTTACTGCCCAAATTTTCAACCATATTAAATATGGGAGGTCATTATTGGAACCAAGAGAGTGACATTCATTCTCATCTGTGATTCAGCGTGAGGAATCTTACTTATCGGATTTGGTATCCTTTTATTCTATGGGGTACTTTTCATGTTTATTCCTCTGGGGAATTTCAGAGCAGTGGATGAAGGGAAGGGCATAAACAAATGGCCAGATTTTCTCAATCGTTCATAATCATCCCTTTGAGTGTTTTCAGAGAGTGTCATGAGGGATGATTTTTCTCGATTATGTCATTGTTTGCTTCTCCCCCACCAGGGCCTCTCAGTGACGGTGAGAAGCCTATTGGTAGCTGCGGCAATTGAGTGTCTCCACCGTGCAGATAGTGTGGAGGGTCATCGGGGTGAGCCTTAGGAGTCCAGGGGGTTTAGGGCATGATTTCCGCCATCGGAGAATGGATGGAACAGGCCCCCATAGAGAAAGAGAAATGAGGATGCAGTTACAGGCTGGGGACCACCTGAGTGGACAGAGATGCGCTGGATGGTGGGCCAGCCTAGGCTGGTCATGGTGAAGGTTATGGGAGCCACCAAAGCCGCTTTCAGCTGACAGTGGCCGCCTTATGCTGCTGTGCGGTGCCAGCCTGTTCTTCCACAGCTGTCCTGCTCCAGATGAGGGCTTGCCACCTTTGTAACTGCTGGGACCATTCTGTCCAGCCACTTCCCCTGTCTCACTTCTCTGGGCCGAAAATAGCTCAGCAGGAATCCCTTGAGGCCCATATATATATTGGGAGGCATCTTTGTTACTCAGATTTTTTTTTTTTTTTACTAAGAGCGTTATGGCTGAATGAGTCCCCGTGCACACATGAGTGGTGAAAATAAGGACAGCTGGAACCTGGGCCTTGTCATTTCCCATGCTGAACGTGCTGCCTCCCCATCTATAAACTCACAGGGTGGCCCCACATAAATTAAGGGCAGTGATGTAAAACCACAGCAGGGAGTTAGAAGTAGCATAGGCGTGAGAAGCGTTGGCATCTGCCTTATCAAAAGCGAGATCCAGACCCCTCCTGGGGTGAACATTAAAGAGCAGAATGCCCGATTTTGGGGGTGGTGGTATGGCAGCAGAAGGGACGCAGTTCCTGGAAGGTTCCCCTTGCAGAGATCTCCTGGGTCAGTGTTTGCACACACAGTGTGCCACCACCTGCCAGGAAAGAGCCTGTTTAATACTAAAAGCAAAGGGAGAGGAGCCCAAGGGAAAGAGGGGACTGGCGAGGCGGTAGGCAGGGCAGTGTGTGCAGCCAACACAGCCCTGGGTAAGACCTGGGCCACTTGCTGTCATCGGTGCCAACATACACAATCTTTTCCCTGAAGACAATTTGCACTGCCAGTTAAATGGCAGAGTCTGGGCTTCAAACCTGGGCCACCCTGGCTCCAGGGTCAGTAGCTTCTGCCCTGCCGAGATGAGTGATTCCTGATATGAACAAGTCCCCAAGCCATGTAGGGTATTGTAGATGAGTGTCAACTCCCTCCTTTAGGTGAAGCTCACCCTCAGTGGCTTCCTAGGAAAGGGTGATGGGAGCTTGACCTTTGGAGTGCTTACGTGTCAGGAAATGCCTTTATTTCCACACCTGATTGATAGCCTGGTGGGACATAAAGTCCTTGATTGAAAATCAGCAATGTTGCTCCGTGTGGAATGGGGTCTGGAGTAGGGTTTTGCTGTTGAGAATGGGTCAGGCCAGTTTGATTTCTGTTCCTTTGTCTAGGATAGGATATATTTTTCTCTCTGGAAGCTTTCAGGTTCTTTTTCACAGGTGCTCTGGAATTTCATAGAGTGTGCTTACCTGTAGGTCTTTTTCATTGCTTGTATTGGGACCTGCATTTAGGGGACCTGTGTGTCTGCAGACGTGATCTTCAGGTCTGGGAAATATCTTTGTGCTTTTTTTTGTTTTGTTTGTGAGATGGAATCTTGCTCTGTCACCCAGGCTAGAGTGCAGTGATGTGATCTCGGCTCACTGCAATCTCTGCCTCCTGGATTCAAGTGATTCTCCTGCCCCAGCCTCCTGAGTACTTGGGACTCAGGGCTGGCCACGGTGGTGCTCGCCACCACGCCTGGCTAATTTTTGTATTTTTTAGTAGAGACAGGGTTTCACCATGTTGGACAGGCTGGTCTTGAACTCCTGGCCTCAAATGATCTGCCTTCCTCGGCCTCCCAAAGTGCTGGGATTACAGGCGTGAGCCACTGCGCCTGGCCTAGTCTTAGGTTTCTTTTTCAGAGCATCCTGGTTTTGTTTTGGGTCCTCACCTGGCTTGGCTTCTTGTGGTTTCTGACACGCCCAGTACCGAGCCTCTGGGGCTGTAGCTGGTGGGTGGCCCTCTTCCTACCCCCTGCAACCCCCCCACCTCCCCCAGGCACTCTGTGTTGAACCCCTTCCTTGCAGAGGCGAGTGTGTGACCTCCACTCCATCTGCTTGCTGGGCCCTCAAAGCTGAGCTGTTGCTTTCTATCTCACGTCTTTTGACATATTTGTTCCTTTTTAGTTATTTGCTTCTTGGAAGTGTGATAATTCTACCACATTTCAGATTTTTAGAAATCTCAAATGCCTTTTGTTTCATTTTAAATGTGGTAATGTGGTAAAATTTCATTTTAAATATAGGTAATGCATGCCTATATTTCAAAATTCACACGGCCTAAAAAAGATGGACAGTGACAAGTCTTGATTCTATGTTTGTTCCTCATCTACCCCCTCCTCATTTCTAGGTAACCATTTTTAGTAGTTTCTTGTGTACTATTCTTCCACAATTTCTTTATGTAAATACAAGCAATTGTGAGTATATTTTTCTATATACATATATATGTGTTGATTTTATATATTTCCTTCCCACCCCCTAATTTAAGTAAAAGTACTATTTACTGTGTTGCACCTGGCTTTTTTTTTTTTTTCTCTCTGAAAATCTGTCTTGGAAATCTTTTCATGTCCTCATTTCTAGACAGCTTCTCCATCTTCTTTTATAAATGTAAATGCACTAAATAAATATAACAATTTATTAAATACTCTGTAGATGGACATTGGACTGACTCATTCTTTTACTATTACAAATGTTGCTGTCGGCCGGGCGTGGTGGCTCACGCCTGTAATCCCAGCACTTTGGGAGGCTGAGGCAGGCAGATCACTTGAGGTTAGGAGTTCAAGACCAGCCTGGCCAACATGGTGAAACCCTGTCTCTACTAAAAATACAAAAATCAGCCAGGCGTGGTGGCGTGTGCCTGTAGTTCCAGCTACTCGGGGGGCTGAGGCAGGAGAACTGCTTGAACCCAGAGGTGGAGATTGCAGTGAGCCGAGATCACACCACTGCACTCCAGCCTGGGTGAGAGAGTGAGACTCTGTCTCAAAAAAAAAAAACAACAACAACAGCAAAAAAAAAACCCAAAAAACAAAAAAACACAAATATTGCTGTGATAACCCTTTAGATATGTCATTTTCTACATATGGAAGTTTATTGGCAGGATAAATTCTCAGAATTGGAATAGCTGTGTCTGTGTTGTAATAAGCACAAACAAGATGTCCTGCACAAAGGGTCATAGCAGTTTGCACTCTGTTAAGAGCAAGAGAACACCTGGTTCTCTATAGCCTCTCCAGTAGAGTGTGTGATCACACTTTTGGATTTTTGCCCATCTAATAGTAGGAAAATGGTATCTCAGTGTAAGTTGAATATTTAGGTTCTTAATAGTGTGAGCTTGAGCATCTTTTCGCATGTTTGAGCCACTATGGTTCCTTTCCTGTGAACTGTCTATCCATATCCTTGACTGTTTTTCAAATGAATTATTAGTCTTTTTCCCATCAATTTCTAGATGCTCTAATTCTTAATGTACTATGAGATTCACCTCTTTTCTGTAATATAAATTGCAAGTATGTGTTCCCTGTGTAACATCTGTCAGTTGGCTCTTCCTGTGGAAAATTTTTGCCATGCAGAAAGTTTTTATTTTTGCTTTTCTAGGTAAAATTATCAATCATTTCTTTTAAGTCTTCTGGATTATGAGTCATGATTAGAAAGCCTTTTTCACTCTAAGATTAAAAAGTGTTTTTCTTGAGTTTTCTACTTGGTTTTAGCTTATTACATTTAAATCCTTGATTTGGAGTTTCTTAATTTTCTTGAGAGAAAGAGATCCAACTTTATCCTCCGGGAGTTGCCAATTTGTCCCGAGATCACTACTGATGGAAAAGCCAATCTTGTTCCTTGAGATGCCATCTGCCCTATCAGATATTAATTTTTTTTTTTTTTTTTTTTTTTTTTTTTTGAGACAGAGTCTCGCTCTGTGTCCCAGGCTGGAGTGCAATTGCACGATATCGGCTCACTGCAACCTCTGCCTCCCGGGTTCTAGTGATTCTCCTGCCTCAGCCTCCTGAGTAGCTGGGACTACAGGCGGGTGCCACCACACCCAGCTAATTTTTTGTATTTTTAGTAGAGACGGGGTTTCACTGTGTTAGCCAGGCTGGTCTTGAACTCCTGACCTCATGATCTGCCCGCCTCGGCCTCCCAAAGTGCTGGGATTACAGGCGTGAGTCTCCGTGCCCAGCCTGGGATTTTTATGACTAGAACTAACATATGTAAGATGCTTCTCATATTGTAGGCCCCAACAATTGGTAACTTTCAAGCTGCCATATACTTTTACATAAATGCTATCATACCATAGATGTATTTTTTGTTTTTAGTGGATTTTTGTTTGCCATTTTACATATCAAAATAAACTTAAAAGATGTTAAATGAAATAAAATATGATGATGAGGCACTTGACTAAATGGCAAAATGAAACACTGGGTTCCATCATGACCTCCTGATGTGCGCATCCATTTACGTACGCGCACATGTGTGTTTATGTGTACATACATAGATTAAGACTAAACAGAATTTCATGAGTCGATAATTAAATTTACTACATGTGATATACCTTGGTCCATTCTATTCCAGAATAACATATTACTTAATTTTAAAAATGCTTTGGCCAGGCGCGGTGGCTCACGCCTGTAATCCCAGCACTTTGGGAGGCCGAGGTGGGCGGACCACGAGGTCAGGAGATCAAGACCATCCTGGCTAACATGGTGAAACCCCGTCTCTAATAAAAATACAAAACAATTAGCCGGGTGTGGTGGCAGGCGCCTGTAGTCCCAACTACTCGGGAGGCTGAGGCAGGAGAATGGCGTGAACCCGGGAGGTGGAGCTTGCAGTGAGCCGAGATCATGCCACTGCACTCCAGCCTGGGCGACAGACCGAGACTCTGTCTCAAAAAAAAAAAAAAAAGCTTTAAAATATTTCATTTTTTATTTATTAAACATTTTTTTTTAATGCACTGATTACCAGTGTCCCGATGGGCTGATGACTGGCAATTTGGAAGACACCAAACTATATAGAAATCCAGGATCTTTGCTCATTAATTCATTGCACAAATGTATATTAAGTACCTGTTCTATGCCAGGTCCTGGAGCTTCAGTGATGAACAAGACAAATACAAGGCCTGCCCTCATGGGACTTCAGTCTCACTTTGGAGACAGACAATAAAATGTGCTTATCATTTTAGCACTTTCACTACCTGACATTTTGAAAGGGCGACTGATTGACTGTGTCTGTGATAGACATAAGGCCTCTGCAAGGATGTCACATGTAGGCTCAGAGCTGAGGATGAGATAGAACTAGCTATGTGAATAATGGGATGAATTGCATTATGAGCAGAGCTCGTAGCATGTGCAAAGGCCCTGAGGCAGAAAGCATTCGGTGTGTTTAAGACATGATGACAGCCTGGATGAAGTGTAGCCATTCAGGGGTAATTGATGAAGGGTGGGGCTGGAGAAGTGGGCAGGACACTCTAGGCCACGGATGGGAGTTTGCATTTTTTCCAAAGGGGTGATAAATCATTTAAAGGTTCTAAGCAGAGGAGTGAAGACATAATCTAGTGTACAAATCAAACTAGTTGCTCTGCTGTATGGAGAATGTGTAGAAGGGATCTAGAGTGGAAGCTGGAATTCCAGTTAGGAGGGTGCTTCAGGGGCCGAGTGAGAGACACCACTGGCTGAGATGTTGGTGTTGACAATCAAGATATTCGAGACATAGTTTGGAAGTAGAATCAGTAGGTCTGGCTTTTGGATTAGGTGTGGGGCGGAACGGAAAAGCAAGAGCAAAGATGAACTCCTAGGTGGCTGGCTTGGATTAGTGTGGAGGTCAGCAAACTGTGGCCCACGGGCCGGATCCAATCTAGGGCCTGTTTTTTGTTGTTGTTGTTGTTTTTTGAGACGGAGTCTCACTGTGTTGCCCGGGTTGGAGTGCAGTGGCGTGATCCTGGCTCACTGCAACCTCTGCCTCCTGGGTTCAAGCGATTATCCTGCCTCAGCCTCCCAAGTAGCTGGGATTACAGGCGTGCACCACTACGCCCAGCTAATTTTTTGTATTTTTAATAGAGACGGGGTTTCACCATGTTGGCCAGGTTGGTCTCGAACTCCTGACCTCGTGATTTGCCCACCTCGGCCTCCCAAAGTGCTGGGATTAAAGGCATGAACCACCACGCCCGGCCTGTTTTTTTTCCCCCGTTTATTAATAATCTATGGGTTAAAAATGGTTTTTACAATTTTAAAAGTGGGAGAAAGACACGCAGAATATGCGACAGAGAATATATGTGGCCATATGTGACCTGCAAAGTCTCAATATTTGTCATCTGGTCCCTTATGGGAAAAGTTTGCAAACTTCCAGATTACTGGGTTATGCTGTCATTTGCTGACACGTAGAGGGCAAGGAAACGGATATTTTGTTGTCGTTACTTGAGAAATGGTGAGAATATTTATGAATTTTCCTTAGACGTTTGACTTCAGTTCTTAGAAAGAGGTATGCCATAAGCCCAATTGTGATTCTCATCTTCACTTTTATTGCATGCTTAATCAGAGATATGCATTTTGAAGCTTCTCAGAAGAAATGGGGTGAACGCTGACATTATTGTTTGGCTACCTAACTTGGGAGCTCCCTTTTATTTGAGATTTTGCCTGATGAAGGGGTAGAATATTCAACTTAAAATAACAGCACTCTTGGCCGGGCATGGTGGCTCAGGCCTGTAATCCCAGCACTTTGGGAAGCCGAGGTGGGTGGATCATCTTAGGTCAGGAGTTCGAGACCAGCCTGGTCAACATGGTGAAACCCCATCTCTAATAAAAATATAAATATTAGCCGGGTGTGGTGGCAGGCAACTGTAATCCTAGCTACCCAGGAGGCTGAGGCAGGAGAATCACTGGAACCCGGGGGGTGGAGGTTGCCGTGAGCCGAGATCGCGCCACTTCACTCCAGCCTGGGTGACAGAGCGAAACTCCGTCTCAAAAATAAATAAAAATAAATAAATAAATAAAAATAATAACAGCACTTGTTATAGTAAGAATCCGAGGGTATAACTTACTGATCTTTTCTGATTCCAAAAAAAATTCATTTCTGGCCAAAAATGGACTGTTTTTTTCTCATTCTGGTTTAAACATACCGCTTTTTCAGCTATGCCAGTGGGAAATGTCTTCCTACCTTTTGGGGCTCCAATAACTCAGACTTGGGGATGGGACCTTTGCAGCCTACTGCCGGAACTCTCTGGATGGCCAGTGGTACAGTTATGATGACAGCACGGTGGAACCGCTTCGAGAAGATGAGGTCAACACCAGAGGGGCTTATATCCTGTTCTATCAGAAGCGGAACAGCATCCCTCCCTGGTCAGCCAGCAGCTCCATGAGAGGTAGGTGCTGCTGCTCATGACAGGAGGGGGGTGTGGGGAAGTCACTTTAAGAACTGGGAAGAGGCTCAGTTGAACATCGAGGACCAGGAGAGGTTGGCAAGGATCTGAAAGAGGAAGCCCGGGATGCTGCTGTAGAAACCTGAGCTGCATAGACTGGTTGCTCATTTACCAGGGTGTGGGATGGATGGATTATAATTCAGGAAAGGGGAAAAGAATAATTGTTTGTATTCAGGGCAGGCGATGCTTGGCAGTGTGGTATTCCATATTCCTAGTCTCACTCATATCACAGCAGGTTTTTTGAGGTGTATGTAATGTAAACTGATGTCAGTCCTGTTGGAAAGGCAGGGCAGTTATAAAGGATGCAGGACTTTTCTAGGAAAGGTAGCTTTTTTTTTTTTTTTTTTTTTTTGAGATGGAGTCTCGCTCTGTCACCAGGCTGGAGTGCAGTGGCATGATCTTGGCTCACTGCAACCTCTGCCTCTTGGGTTCAAGCGATTCTCCTGCCTCAGCCTCCCGAGTAGCTGGGAGTACAGGCACGTGCCACCACCATGCCCAGCTAATTTTTGTATTTTTAGCAGAGACGGGGTTTCACCATGTTGGCCAGGAGGATGGTCTCGATCTCTTGACCTCTTGATCCACCCATCTCAGCCTCTCTAAGGTAGCTGTTTAAACACTGCTGCACTCAAGCAATTCATTTATTAGCCTCAAACTTGCTTGGAAGTCTAGAGAAAGAAAGTGCCAAAGCTGACCCTTTCACGTGATTTGTTTCATGCTGCAAACCAACTGTCCTTATCTTTGGGACAAGAGAGCATTAAAAAAAAAAATTAAGCAGATTTTCTCCTAACAGTTATCAGAAAATGGCCAAATAAATCCAAGAGTCCTCAGCAGGTCTAAACCAATCCTAACATAAGTCTAGCTTCCATTTATAGAAGAAGATGTTGAAAAAAGAATGAAAAACCTGTCCTATTAGAGAAAAGAAGTTTTTCTTACTGTCCAGTATAATAAAGATAATGTATCTTTATGGTGCAAAGTGTAGGCATCCTTAATGCCCACTGTAAAAGATTTGGTTTCCCTAAACTTGGGATAAACTCCTGTAACATGGCTTATTACCTGTTGAACTGTGCATGCTGGGGCCCTGGTACTGGTAATAAAATACTGTTACTCTGCCTCTGACTACAGCTCTGAGTAATACAGTACTTTGGCTCTGGAAAAAGAAACAAAAAACATATTTAGAATGCCAAAGCTGGTGATAAGTAATTTCATGGAAAGCATTTCAAAACTTGTCAACATACTTTCCTTTGTTGTTGTTGTTGTTTTGTTTTTTATTTTTTGAGACGGAGTTTCGCTCTTGTTGCCCAGGCTGGAGTACAGTAGCGCGATTTCGGCTCACTGCAACCTCCGCCTCCCAGGTTCACACAATTCTCCTGCCTCAGCCTCCTGAGTAACTAGGATTTACAGGCGCCCACCACCACGCCCAGCTAATTTTTTGTATTTTTAGTAGAGATGGGATTTCACCACGTTGGTCAGGCTGGTCTTGAACTCCTGACCTCAGGTGATCTGCTCGCCTCGGCCTCCGTAAGTGCTGGCATTACAGGCGTGAGCCACCGCGCCCAGCCCATGCTTTCCTTTTTGTGCTCAAATGCCTCTCCCTAAACTTTTAAGCTTAGTCACATGGGAAACCCGATCACAGGTTTCCCCTCTCCTTGTTGACAGGTTTCTGCAGTTCTGTTCTGGTTCTGTAGTTCTGGGGCTGAAGGATGGGGCCGGAATGGGGATCTGGTTGTGAGATGCTCCGCTAGGACTCTGAAGTGCTGGGGTTGGGCTCAGCCTCCCTCTCTGTGTTTCCTCCACAGGCTCTACCAGCTCCTCCCTGTCTGATCACTGGCTCTTACGGCTCGGGAGCCACGCTGGCAGCACAAGGGGAAGCCTGCTGTCCTGGAGCTCTGCCCCCTGCCCCTCCCTGCCCCAGGTTCCTGACTCTCCCATCTTCACCAACAGCCTCTGCAATCAGGAAAAGGGTATGTTGGTTAAATGTGCTTGGTTGATTTTCATTTTCTGTAATGTCTGTTGTTATTGCTCAGTATGAAAGCGCTGTCACTTCGTAGTCTTGAATGGAAAGGGTCCATCATTACGAGAGGTTTGTTCATCTCTTAAATGGGGTCTTCTATGACCTGCCCTTCCTTGCCCGCTTCTCCCCATCCTCTACCCTCCAGCCACAGGTACCTTTTCTCTGCCCCCGTGTAGCTTATTGTCATAAGCAAGTAAACCTGGGAACATGGTACTTAAAGAAGGGAGAATGGCAAAGAGAATCAGGGAAGAGGGTATTCAGGCCCGGGGTGGAGGAGGGAGGGTGCACAGGGCCCGGGAGATAGGACGGGCGGGTAACATCTTTCTAGGGGGTGACACTGAGCAGAGCTCTGAGTGAGAGAGAGTGACTTGTGTAGAAGCCTAGGGCTATGTTCCAGGAGAGGAGCCCTCCAGGGTGAAGGCTGGGAGTGAGCATTGGATGTGTGAGGGGCAGAAGAAACCAGAGCTGTGGCTGGAGCAGAGACACCCAGGAGTAGAGAGAGCAGGAGTGGACAGGGGCCATGTTAGAACCTACCTTTCTGAGCTAGAGGTATAAAGTTTGGACTCTATTCTAAGTGTAGTGGATAGCGAGTGGAGAGGTGTTTTTGTTTGTTTGTTTGTTTGTTTGTTTGTTAATGCTTCTGCTTTAATCATTGTTTTTAAAAAATTGACACATAATAATTGTACATATATTTGGGGTACATATGATAGTTTGATACATGCGTACAATGTGTTCATTACATACAAACTAGGGTATTTAGAATATACATCACCTCAAACATTTATCATTTCTTTGTGACGGGAACATTTCAAATCTCTCTAGCTGTTTTGAAATATACAATATATTGTTGGTAACTGTAGTCACCTTCCTGTGCTATTAAACATGAGAACTTATTTTATCTAACTGTATATTTGTACTTTTTTTTTGAGACAGAGTCTCACTCTGTCGCAGGCTGGAGTCCAGTGGCATGATCTCGGCTCACTGCAACCTCTGCCTCCCGGGTTCGAGCAATACTCCTTCCTCAGCCTCTAGAGTAGCTGGGATTACAGGCGCCTGCCACTACGCCTGGCTAATTTTTGTACTTTTCGTAGAGACAGGGTTTCATCATGTTGGTCAGGCTGATCTCAAACTCCTGACCTCACGTGATCTGCCTGCCTCGGCCTCCCAAAGTGCTGGGATTACAGGGATGAGCCACCGCACCTGGCCTATTTGTACCTATCAACCCACCTCTCTTCATCTGCCCCCATTCCCGGCCTCTGGCAACCATCATTCTACTCCCTACCTCCATAAAATCAACTTTTTTAGCTTAGAGTTTTGAGCAGGGAAGTGGTTGATCTGATTTATAGTTTGTAGAGAGTCTACTCTGGCTACTGTGTGGAGAAGACATCACAGGGGGCAAGAGTGGGGACGTAGGAAGATCATTCAGGAGACTAACATGGTTATATCCAGGTGGGAGACAGTGGTGGTTTGAACTAGCATGTTAGATAAGAGATGGTCAAACTGGATGTATACTGAAGCTGGAGCTGCTAAGATTTGCTGATGTGGGGTGTGCAGTGTGAAGGAAAGAGAATAGTCAAGGATGACTCCTTGCTTAAGGTCTAAATAACGAGGGGAATTGCTGCACAGTTAATGAGGTGGGAGAAAGTTGGGTAGGAACACTCCATTCTGGAGGGAAGTCAAGAATTTTTTGACACAGTAATTTTGAAAATCCTGTAAGACACCATTCCCCAGGCTTTTTGGCACCAGGGACCGGTTTCATGGAAGACAATTTTTACACACACTTGAGGTGAGGATGGTTTGGGATGAAACTGTTCCACCTCAGATCATCAGGCATGAGATTCTCATAAGGAGCATGCAACCTACATCCCTCACGTGCAGAGTTCACAATAGGCTTTGTGTTCCTATGAGAATCTAATACGCCTGCTGATCTGACAGGAGGCGGAGCTCAGGCGGTAATGCGAGTGATGGGGAGCAGCTGTAAATACAGATGAAGCTTCGCTCATTTGCTCACCACTCACTTCCTGCTCTGTGGCCCGATTCCTAACAGGCTGTGGATCAGTACTTGTCCACAGCCCAGGGGTTGGGGGACCCTGCTAAGACATCACATCAATGTGATAACTGGGGAGTGGAGAGAAATATTTGAGAGTCATCAGCACATGGATGGAACAGTGCTGGCTGAGCTCCCCTGGGGAAATAGTACAGATGAAAAAGAATGAAGGCCGGGCACAGTGGCTCACGCCTGTAATCCCAGCACTTTGGGAGGCCGAGGTGGGCAGATCATGGGGTCAGGAGTTCGAGACCAGCCTGACCAACATGGTGAAACCCCGTCTCTACTAAAAATACAAAAAAAATTAGCTGGGCATGGTGGCGCACGCCTGTAATCCCAGCTACTCAGGAGGCTGAGGCAGGGGAATCGCTTGAACCTGGGAGGTGGAGGTTGCAGTGAGCTTAGATCACACCACTGCACTCCAGCCTGGGCAACAGAGCAAGACTCCATCTCAAAAAAAAAAAAAAAAAAATGAAGACCCGAGACCAAACCTGGGGGCTCTCCAACATCTAAGGGTTGAGCAAAGGTGGAGAGGCCAAGAAAAGAACGGAGAAGGAGCAGCCAGTGAGGGGAAGAAAACCAGGTGAGTGTGGTTGACAGATGAAAAAAAGAGAATCTTAAGGAAGCAGCCAACTGTACTGGATGCTGCTGAGAGGCTGAGTAAGGTGAGGATGGGTAGATTCCATCAGGCTGGAAGGCCACCGGTGACTTGCCAGGAGCATCTGCCATGGCTGGAGAGAAGGGAGGCCTGCCTGCAGCAGGTGGACCAGAGGCTGGGGTGGAGGAAGTGGCAGTGTGTACACACTCCAGCAGGCGAGGTGACTGAAGGAAGGCGGGTTGACAGCTAAGTAGGAGATAGTAGAGACGCATTCAGATGATCAGGTCTACAGGGAGATGTTGATGACAGTGCTGGGAACAAGGGGGTAACCACAGAAACAAAGTCCTTAAGGCTGAGCGTTGTCAGATCACGCCTGGAACCCTAGCATTTTGGGAGGCCAAGGTGGGAGGATCGCGTGAGTCCAAGAAGTTAAGACTAGCCCTGGCAACATAGTGAGACCCCATCTCTATAAAAAATTAGCCAGGCATGGTGGCATGTGCCTGTTGTCCCAGCTACTCAAAAGGCTGAGGTGGGAGGATCTCTTGAGCTTGGGAAGTTAGGGCTGCAGTGAGCTGTGAGCACACCACTGCACTCCGGCCTGGGTGACAGAGTGAGACCTTGTCTCAAAAAAACAAACAAAAAAACCAGCATTACTATGTAAGAACTGTATGTCTGTGTATGTGTGTTTGTGCCTGTGTGTATGTCTGTGTGTGTGTCTGTGTCTTTGTGTGTGTGTGTCTCTGTGTGTGTGTCTGTGTGTTTGTGTCTTTGTGTGTGTGTCTCTGTGAGTGTATGTCTGTGTGTGTGTTTCTTGTGTGTGTGTCTCTATGTGTATGTGCCTGTGTGTGTGTCTGTGTGTATGTGTGTGTGTCTGTGTGTGTCTCTGTGTGTGTATGTGTGTGTGTGTGTGTGTGTCTCTGTAGGTATGTGTCTGCGTGTTTGTGTCTATGTGTGTGTCTCTGTGTGTGTGTGTCTGTGTATCTGTGTGTCTCTGTGTGTCTATGTGTATGTATCTGTGTATATGTGTCTGTGTGTGTCTCTGTGTATCTGTGTGTGTGTCTCTGTGTGTCTATGTATATGTATCTGTGTATATGTGTCTGTGTGTGTGTTTCTGTGTGTCTATGTGTATGTATCTGTGTATATGTGTGTGTGTCTGTGTTTGTGTATCTGTGTGTGTGTCTGTGTGTGTATGTGTCTGTGTATGTGAGAATGTGTTTGTGTGTATGAGTGTGCTTGTGTGTGTATTGTTTGTGCCTGTATGTCTGTGTGTGTGTGTTTGTGTGTCTTTGTGTGAGTGTGTGATCTTTAGCCTTTGTGTTCCTTCAGCCAGAAAGTGGTAACATGTTCAAATTATTTTTTTAGTTCCTTATTTCTTGTTAGGTCCTAACTTAGTTTTTTAAATACAATTTTAATAGAAATATTATATATACTTGTGATTAGTATACTTTACATATTGCATACAATTATATATATAAGTATATGTAAGTAAAGTATATTAATCCTTCAATACTTAAAGTATATTAAGTATACAGCTGACAAATTTTCATAAAATGAACATCCTCATATACCAGATTAAAAAATAGAATATTCTAGCACCCTGCTGCCTTGTATCTCTCTCAATCATGACTGTTTTAAATAAAAAACAGCTTGGAGATACATAGTTCTCTGCACAGAAATTTACTTATGAGAGAGAGAGCGAACTGTTGTCTGTTGACAATTGTCAATAAAAAAGCAAACACAGGGGTTTGAAGAAGAGGGGGTGCAGGGTGAGGTGGGGGAACTACCTCTTCCTTTCTGCAGGTTCATTCATGGGCTGGAATCTGTTGTGGAGGCTAGCCTTGTGGTCTGACCTGGAGAAATCTGGCCTGGTCATCAAGGGGAGCACCCTGAGTTGTTACAGATTTATGGTTTCTTGAGTTATTTATGGATTCTCCAAAAATCCAATGCAAGTTTTGTCATGAAGCTATCTGCAATGTCTGCTACTTGACAAATCTCCCCATTTCCCTTATTAAAATTTCTTACATTGAGCCAGGTGCGGTGGCACATGCCTGTAATCCCAGCACTTTGGGAGGCCGAGGTGGGAGGATCACCTGAGGTCAGGAGTTTGAGACCAGCCTGACCAACATGGTGAAACCCCGTCTCTACTAAAAATACAAAAATTAGCTGGACATGGTGGCGGGCACCTGTAATCTGAGCTACTCAGGAGGCTGAGGCAGGAGAATCACTTGAACCCAGGAAGGAGAATCACTTGAACCCAGGAGGTGGAGGTTGCAATGAGCTAAGATGGTGCCACTGCACTCCAGCCTGGGCAACAGAGCGAGACTCCCTCTCAAAAAAAAAAAAAAAAAAAGTCCTTACATTGTCAGAATAGTTTACATGTTTACATTTTGTATTGCGGTTCGGTTTCAGAGTTGTTTCTGGTTTGCAGCCATTACCAGTAGTCCTGTTATGAACATTTTTGATCCTGTCCTTGGTGTCTGCACGTCTGCATTTCTGTTGGGTGTATACTTAGGAGTGGAATTGCTTGGGCACAGTGTGTGTGTGTGTGTGTGTGTGTGTGTGTGTATTCATCAGCTGCTTATTTCTTTATACTTTATGTCATCATTTGTATCCAAGTACCCAATGCAATACAGCAGGCCTTTAAAAATGTCATTTTGTTCAGCGGTCATTTTGCTATAATGTTGATGAGAAAAAATAGTTGATTCCTGGCTGGGACTACTGGAGAATGCAGTTTGCTCATTCTCCCCATGTCTGCGTGGGTTTTCTCCGGGTGCTCCAGTTTCCTCCCACATCCTAAAGATATACCATTAGGTGATCTGATTGTCTGCACGGTCTCAGTGTGAGTGCGAGTCTCCCTGAAATGGGAGGGGGGCCTATCCAGGGCTGGTTCCTGCCATTCATGATCCTGAGCTGGAATAAGTGGGCAAATAATTATCTTACTCGTTACTTTTGTTAAATGTATGTATAGCTCACATTTTTTTTTTTTTTGAGGCGGAGTCTTGTTCTGTTGCCAGGCTGAAGTGCAATGGGGCGATCTCAGCTCACTGCAACCTCCGCCTCCCGGGTTCAAGCGATTCTCCTGCCTCAGACTCCCGAGTAGCTGGGACTACAGGCACGCACCACCACACCCAGCTAATTTTTGTATTTTTAGTAGAGATGGGGGTTTCACCATGTTGGCCAGGATGGTCTCGATCTCTTCATCTCGTGATCTGCCCACCTCGGCCTCCCAAAGTGCTGGGATTACAGGTGTGAGCCACCGCGCCCAGCCGTAGCTCACATTTATTTTAATGTTTAATAGTAGAAGTGTTTGGGTCTTTTTAGAAGTTTGGCGATGCTTTTGGGACGAGAAATATGCTGTAGGAGCTTAACTATTATTTATATCAATTAGTCTACGGGAAAATTGGTTTAGTTATATGTTGTTTTGCTTCAAGTTCAAGTTCAGGTTATTAAGAGCCTATCCGTGATGCTGCAAAGATTTACTACACCAGGCATGTACCAGACTCTGGTTACATATTTGTGAGTGAATAGAGATGATGATAGGATCTTAAAGCTACAAGTGGTTTTAGATTCTCATTGAGTCCACCCCTCTGGTTTACAGTGATTTATGTGTCAGAGTTCAGTTAATTCCTTCCCCAGCGTGTGGCATTTGGGCTGCCAAAATTTCATGAGTAGACATGACACTCATAGCATGTCTGTGCATCTTGGAGTTGTCTGATTTCCTTAGAATACGTTTCTGTGAGCAGTGGCTCACACCTGTAATCCCAGCACTTTGGGAGGCCAAGGTGGGCAGATCATCTGAGGTCAGGAGTTTGAGACCAGCCTGACCAACATAGAGAAACTCCATCTCTACTAAAAATACAAAATTAGCCGGGCATGGTGGTGCATGCCTGTAATCCCAGCTACTCAGGAGGCTGAGGCAGGAGAATTGCTTGAACCCGGGAGACGGAGGTTGTGGTGAGCTGAGATCGTGCCATTGCACTCCAGTCTGGGCAACAAGAGCAAAACTCCGTCTCAAAAAAAAGAAAAAGAAAAAAAGAATCCGTTTCTATGCAGGCATACTATTTCATGCAGTATGTTTTGTTTTGACTTGTCCTGGCTGGACATTTCTTTTCCCCTTATATTTTCATGATTGCACATTTAAAATAGTGTCTATGGCTGGGCACCGTGGCTCATGCCTGTAATCCCAGCTACTCGGGAGGCTGAGGCAGGAGAATCACTTGAACCCAGTAGGTGGAGGTTGCAGTAAGCTGAGCTCGCACCATTGCGCTCCAGCCTGGGCAACAAGAGTGAAACTCCGTGTCCAAAAAAAAGTCTCTACAACAAAAAAGATGTTCTTTCTCAAGCTCATTCATCCCTGTCAGCATTGCCTATGATAAGCTCAAAAGTTCATCCCAGCTCTGTTTAACGGCAAAGTACCTCAGGCCATTTCTCAGTTCTCCCAAGGAGAAATGTGCTTGATATCCTCCCAGGAGGAGGCGATTTCAAAGGATGGTCCAAGTTTTTCACATGGTATTCAGACAGATGTGAGGCACAGCTCTAGAAAAACTCCTCAGAGACCCCTGAGAGGCCTGGGGGAGGGATGATAACTGTCCTGCAGACCCTTGCAGGCATTTTACTCGCATTCTCTAATTCAGTCCTCAAAACCCTTGGGAGAGGTGACCTTATAGCCCTACCAAGGGGATATCTGAGATTCGGTGTGAAGCAACCAGTCGCACCTAGTTGTAAAGCTCACCCCTAGAAAGTGGTGGGGCTGAAATAGACCCGTTCCCTCTGGGTGCCAGGTCTTGGCTCTCAGGCTCTGTAGACATACATTCCAGATTAGAGTCGCTTTCACATGGAGAGAGACTGCAAGAGCCTTGCTTCCTAAGGGAGCTTTCCCTCTTGGAGTTTGACTAAAATAGTGACAGATTTTGAAAGCTGTTTTAGAAGTTCTGAGACGGTTGAAAAATCCAGCGTTTGCTGGACGTGGTGGCTCATGCCTGTAATCCCAGCACTTTGGGAGGCCGAGGCAGGTGGATCACCTGAGGCTAGGAGCCCGAGACCAGCCTGGTCCACATGGCAAAACCCTGTCTCTACTAAAAATACAAAAATTAGCTGGGCATGATGGCACATGACTGCGATCCCAGCTACTCAGGAGGCTGAGGCTGGAGAATCACTTGAGCCCAAGAAGTGGAGGTTGCACTGAGCCTTGATCGCACCACTGTGCTCCAGCCTGGGTGACAGAGTGAGACCCTGTCTCAAAAAAAAAGAAAGACTAGGAAGCCGAGGCAGGCAGATCACTTGAGGTCAGGAGTTTCTCAATAGCTTGGCCAATGTGGTGAAACCCCGTCTCTACTAAAAACGCAAAAATTAGTTGGGCATGGTGGTGTGTGCCTGTAGTCCCAGCTACCTGGGAGGCTGAGGCAGGAGAATCGCTTAAACCTGCAAGGTGGAGGTTGCAGTGAGCCGAGGTTGCGCCACTGCACTCCAGCCTGGGCGACAGAGACTCCATCTCAAAAAAAAAAAAAAAAAAAGAAAGAAAGAAAAGAAAAATCCAGCTTTTTTTTTTTTTTAATTCTTACTAAACCTGGGCAAGACAAAAATCTAGCATATCAGTTTTCAAATAGTGGTTGGTACCACCTCTCCTTCCCACTATCATGAGTTTGCAAATATGTAGGAGAGGGTGTTTTTTGTTTTTTGAGATGGTGTTTCACTCTTGTTGCCCAGGCTGGAGTGCAGTGGCGCAATCTCTGCTCACTGCAACCTCTGCCTCCCAGGTTCAAGCAATTCTCCTGCCTCAGCCTTCCAAGTAGCTGGGATTACAGGCATGCACCACCACGCCCGGCTAATTTTGTATTTTTAGTAGAGACAGGGTTTCTCTGTGTTGGTCAGGCTGGTCTTGAACTCCCGACCTCAGGTGATCTGCCCACCTCGGCCTCCCACAGTGCTGGGATTACAGGTGTGAGCCACCACGCCCAGCCGGGTTTTTTTGACGGTCAAAATTAATAGAGGTGACTACTGGCATTTATTCCCCGGGTGGGGCGCAAGGATGCTAAGTGTCCTGCAATGCCCAGGAGCAGCCCCGCTCAGTAAAAAGTCACCACTGCAAAGTGCCAGCAGCTCTCTGTATAGAAATGCTGACAGCTTGAGAACACCACCTTTCCGGTAGCCCTGGTTATGATCATCATAATAATGAAGGAATCTTAAACCAAAATGAACGGATCCAAGTGTTTTGGAGACTGCAACTTATATAATTGAGGTGGGTGTGGGGGAAGGTTCCAGAAGAAAAAGAATATTACAACATCTTACTTTTGCAATTTTTATACAACCATGACCATGTAAAAAAAAATGGCTAGGAGTCCTTCCCAGAGACCCCTTGGTAATAAGGTGCCCTGAAAGTTAAGCTTTCACAGCTTCTCAGTATGGGCGCTTCTGATGATAAGTTTCCTCTATGGCTTTTATTGGGCCTCAAAGGTTTTGTTTTTCTCTTTTTCAGCACTTTCCAGATAGTATTTCATTTCGGTTTTGATTTCTTCTTTGATCTAGAAGTTATCTGGAAGTCTCAACTCTTTCAGATTATTTTGGTCAACTTTCTTCTTTGATTTTTGTGGATTGTGATCCAAGAATGTGGTTTTCAAAAATTATTCCCTTTATGGAGTCAGACGTGCTACCATTGCGCCACAAGGTCACACATTAGTCCCTTTTTGTGGTCAAGTACATGATTACTATTTTGTAAATGCTCTGTGCATGTATAAACTAATGTATATTGTCTATTTGAGGGATGTGAGCTTTATATCATAACTATTAAATTAGGTGAGTTCATTGGCTATTCAAGTCCCCTATGTCTTTAAATGTACCTTCTCTGGGACTCCTGGCAGGAAGGAAATATAATGAAACCTTCCTGTATAGCTGTATTTTTTTTTTTTTTTTTTTTGAGACCGAGTTTCGCTCTTGTTGCCCAGGCTGGAGTGCAATGGTGTGATCTCGGCTCGCTGCAACCTCCACCTCCCAGGTTCAAGTGATTGTCCTGCCTCAGCCTCCCCAGTAGCTGGGATTACAGGTGACAGGTGCCCGCCACCACACCCAGCTAATTTTTTTTTTTTTTTGTATTTTTAGTACAGATAGGGTTTCATCATGTTGGCCAAGCTGGTCTCAAACTCCTCAGGTGATCCACCTGCCTCAGCCTCCCACAATGCTGGGATTACAGGCGTGAGCCACTGCGCCCAGCCTAGCTGTACCTTTAATCAAGTAATCCTTGCATTTTAATAATTTTCGCTTTATCTTGTTAGCTGCTTTGTTACTAGGTGTCTACGGGTTTATGACTGTTAGATCTCTTTTATAAATTGTGCTTTTTATTATTATAATGTGGCTCTTTATCCCTGCTTAATGTTTTCAACCTTAAATTCTACTTTGTCCAAGTTTAATAATCCCACCCTTTTCTTCTTTCTTTTTGCCTTCTCTCTTTCGCATTTGCCTGCTATCATTTTGCCCCTCTCTTGGGCTTTAGGCACCTTTCCTTTTGAGTTAGTTTTAAGTGGTTTCTGGTAAACAGCCTGGTGTTGGGTTTTTTGTTTTCTTTTTACCAAAAATTCAGAGGCCGTCTTATAATTGGAGCCTTCAGTCCATGCCGATGTAATGTAACAGCTGCGAAACTTGATTTTGTTCATTTCGTTTTTAAAGATTTTATATGACTGTTTCTTCTTTTCCTTTCCTTATTGTTGCTGATGCGAGCGAGTCGCGCTTTGTTTCCTGGTTCATTGGGAAGTTTTGCCGCTCAGGTCACAAAGTAGCAATTTGTTAATTGCTACTTTCTCTATCCCAGTATTTAGAAGCCAGTTATTTCCTGCAAGGTGCTCTCTTTCACCACTGTCTTCTCTCCTTCCTCCAATCAGATGAGAAATATATAACACATCTGTTGTCACTCTTTTCCCTGTCATTCCCCCCAAAATGAGAGCTTTGAAAGACTTTCATGTGCCCCTTCTGGTCTCTTTTGCAAACTCTTAGATTT
Source organism: Homo sapiens (assembly GCF_000001405.40). NCBI lineage: Eukaryota > Metazoa > Chordata > Mammalia > Primates > Hominidae > Homo > Homo sapiens. The sequence goes on from NC_000017.11 coordinate 9,722,815, forward strand.
TGCTGACAGGGCCTAGTACTTTCTATTCCAGACTTATCAAAATTCCCCTCGCAGCACTTAGCTTTATGTGACACATTCTGAGCCGTCTGTCCTGCATGTAGGGTGGTGGACAGTACATGGATTGCAGTGTCCACTGTGCACCACTATTTTTCTCCTCTTTGTCACCCCCCATCTTGAGGTGGTGGGTCTGGTTCATTCGAGTGTGTGTGATACGTTCTCAAAATCTTTGCCCAGCCACAAATATTTCCTTTCACTTGGGAGTGAATGGCAGCTTGGCTGGTTGCACGACTCTTGAGTCGCAGTCCTTTTCTCTCAGGCATCTGAAGCTGTTTTCCCACAGCCTCCCAGGCCCCAGGGTTGCAGGTGAGAAGCCCAGGCTTTTTTTGTTTACAGGAGAGTCACTTGTTTTTTTCTGGTGGGAAGCTTTTAAGATGCTCCCCTTGACCTTGGAGTTTAGAAATTCTCCCAGAATATGCCTAGGTGCGGGTTTTTGTTCTTCAACCTTACCTAGAACTTGGGGGTGCCTTTTGTTCTACAGACTCAGGCCTGTCTTTAGAGAAATGTCTTTTGGTTTTTGTTTAATGATTGTCTCTCCTGCTTTTGACGTTTTTGTGATTTGCTGTTGAGTCTCCTGGATCTATCTTCTGAGTCTCCTGCCTTTTCCCTTGTAGTTTCTTGCTCTTCTCTTTTCCCTTCCCTTCCTTTCCCTTCCCCTCCCCTCCCCTCCCCTCCCCTCCCCTCCCCTCCCCTCCCTCCCTTTTTTTTCTTTTCTTTTCTTTTTTTTTTTGAGATGGAGTTTCGCTCTGTGGCCCAGGCTGGAGTGCAGTGGTACGATCTTGGCTCACTGCAACCTCCCCTTCCCAGGTTCAAGTGATTTTCCTGCCTCAGCCTCACGAACAGCTGGGATTACAGGTGCGCACCACCACACCTGGCTAATTTTTGTATTTTTAGTAGAGACGGGGTTTTGTATTTTTAGTAGAGATGGGGTTTCACCATGTTGGTCAGGCGGGTCTTGAACTCCTGACCTCAGGTGATCCACCCGCCTCGGCCTCCCAAAGTGCTGGGATTACAGGCGTGAGCCACCGCGCCCGGCTTCCCTTATAGTTTCTATCTCTTGGTCAGTCACGTTTTTCAGTCCCTGTTTTTTCATTATCTTCCTTGAGATGCAAGTTTGTTGATCATTTTAAGCTGTCACGTTTCATCTGTTTCATCAGCAGCCTGCTCTGATGGTTCTGGTGATTATTCTTCTCTGACCGCCAGACCCCCTCATGCGTGTTGCTGTTTTCTTTTCTGTCCCACCCTCTCATGTATGGCAGTGGCTCTTGGAGTGATGAAAAGGGCAGCAGCTTTGGCTCCCAGGGGCTGGTGGTGTGACAGCCAGCCTTTTTCTTCCCCGCTTCGTCCTGCTGGTTCAGTCTTGGAGATGGAGAAGCTTCAACTCATCGGTGTAGCTTTTTCTTACCTTAACGGGGACCAGAGGAAAGTTGGGGGGTAGGCTTGTCCCAGGTTGCACTCTGACCTCCACGTGGAAATGGTCATCAGGCTGTGAAGTAATTGTACTCGGCTCAAGAAACATCATATGGGGCCCAGCATGGTGGCTCACGCCTGTAATCCCAGCACTTTGAGAGGTCGAGGCGGGTGGATCACCTGAGGTCAGGAGTTCAAGACCAGTCTGGCCAACGTGGTGAAACCCAGTCTCTGCTAAAAATACAAAAATTAGCCGGGCGTGGTGGTGGACGCCTGTAATCCCAGCTACTGGGGAGGCTGAGGCAGGAGAATCACTTGAATCCGGGAGGTGGAGGTTGCAGTGAGCCGAGATCACACCACTGGACTGCAGCCTGGGGGACAAGAGCGAGACTCTGTCTCAAGAAAGAAAGAAAAGAAAAGAAGCATTGTATGGTATCATGTATTCTTGCTTTTGCCAAACCTCATAAAGACAGGTGCACCATATTCTTTTTCCTTCAACTGTATCCCAAGCGTTGAAGACAGTCCTTGGCACATGGCATGTGCTTATTAAATATTTTTTGAAGGAGTAAGCGGGTAGATGTATGAAGCACGATGGAAGCCCTTGAAGAGACAGAAGGTGCTCAACTAGGAAAAGTCTTGTTCTGTGGCGGGGGGCAGGGGGGCACTAAGCATGGCACCAAGAGGTCCCCAGCCCTGTTCACAAAACACCTGAGTATGGATTGATGCATACTTCATTGGCCAAAAATAAAAAAGTCATGTAGAAATCAAGGTGGCCACACAGGGACAGGAACAGATGTGGCCGTTCTCAAAGCAGCATCTGCTGGCTCCAGAGCTGCGGTGTGGAGGGGGTGTCAGGGGACTGAGCCTGTCAGCTGCACTGGTGCCATCTGCATGGAGGGGGCTCTTGTGGGGTCCAAAAAGCACATTATGAATGCTGTGGGGCTTTATAACCTTCAGGAAGAACCTAACGGCCTGTGTCTTTAATGCAGTGTAAGGCTCTAGGCTCAGACTGGCTGGAAACAGAATCTTCTCGGGGTGGGGTGGGGCGGGAGTTGAACCAGAGTTAGTGCCCAGGGGTCTCTGAACACCACTGTGTTCAGCATCTGTCTCCCAGCATCCCAGAAGTTTTGCCCATCTCCCCGGGGGAGGGGTACCAGGACTTGCACCCACCCTAGACGGGAAGTGACTTTGTAGAGAGGAAGTGTGATGTGAGCGTGGGGGCCTCTTATTCCCTTCTGTTCTTATGCTGCTTATTTCTCAATTTTATTAAAGCCATCACTGTCTCAGATCCTGTTATCCTAGCCCAATAAATGGAAGGAGAATAAAGATAACAGGGGTACTTTTTCACTGCCATCTCGAGAAAGAGGAGACACGAGTTCCGTGGGCATCTGTGGTTCCCATGAAATGTAGCTCAGGCGTTGATGTCAGCCCTGGCCTCAGAGACTTTCCTACCAGGAAGAAAGGAAGAACTGCTATTTCGGGCAGCTGCCAACTCCTCTCGCCACCTGCCGGGGCTCCAGGCAACATGCTCTCATTTTGAAAGGCTAAAAGTCACAGCTTTGTCCTACTAATACAAAGCGTCCCTTTCTGCCCTTCCCAGGGCTGTGGAAGAGAAAAAAAGAAATAAACTTCACACACATCTCAGACCCCAGAACATTTCTTCCCCACCCCCCGAGGGCTGGGAATTTAATAAGGTCAATCTAAACCAAAATTACAGAGTATTTTGGGTAAAATTGTGTCTATGACTGGCTAATCTAAAGAAATGCTTTGAGGAAAGAAAAAATCAAACATTCTTTATGAGAAACCTGGAAAGTCACATCCTTGAGATGCTTTCTAACTCCTTTTGGAGGTCATGGGCTTTCGGCTTCTTCCTGCTCCAGCCATTTCTCCAGGGGTGCTTGGTCGATGTGCACTTTGCCTCCCCCGCGTTCCTGCAGCATTCACTCCCCTGCACCTCATTCTTTTGCCTTTCCTGAGCTCTCACCCGTGCACCTGACAATCTCTGGCCCTTCTCTGTGTCACACATCGTGTTGGCTGTGCCGCTGACAGGGGGCTTTTTATGGCAGGAGTTCTGCTCCCTTTTGGAGCTTCTCTGTTTCATTGTTCATTCAGGCTGTTAGAACAGAATACCACGCCTGGGCAGCTTATCCACAACAGACATTTCTTCCCCACAGTCCTGCAGGCTGGAAGTCTGAGATCAGGGTGCCAGCATGATGGGGCCCTGGAGAGGTTCTTCCCGGCTGCAGACAGCTTCATGTGTCCTCACATGGCAGGAAGAGAGCTGGGTAGCTCTTCAACCTCTTCTTAGAAGGTCACTAATCCCATTCACGAGGGCTCTACCCTCAAGACCTAATTACCACCCAGCAGCATCACCCCCTTAAACCATCGCCTTGGGGACTAGAGCTTCAATGTATGAATCTCAGGGGACACAAACCTTCAGTCCATAGCACCCTCAAACACTATGATGAAGTGGCACAGTGAGAGTGGCCACCCGTGGGGCAGACTTCAGAGGTCACCCTGCAACCTTTCTCCAAATGTGTGTGACTGTCCTTGCGCCATGTAGGTTGTGTGTTTCAGTTGCGCCAGGTGGATTGTGTGTTTTAGCTGAAGATTTCTTTCTCAATGATTGCAGACATCATGTAAAACAAGGCATTTTAATGGTACAGTGACTGATGACTGAGAATTTCTTTCTTTTTTTTTTTGGAGATGGAGTCTTGCTCTGTCACCCAGGCTGGAGTGCAGTGGCATGATCTCAGCTCACTGCAACCTCCACCTCCACCTCCCGGGTTCAAGTGATTCTCCTGCCTCAGCCTCCTGAGTAGCTGGGATTATAGGCATGTGCCACCACGCCCAGCTAATTTTTGTATTTTAGTAGAGATGGGGTTTCACCATGTTGGTCAGGCTGGTCTCGAACTCCTGACCTTGTGACCCACCTGCCTCAGCCTCCCAAGACTGAGAATTTCTTAAGCAAAAATACACAACCTTGGTTGTACATATGTTCCTTTTAGAAATGTGGAGATATAGGAAAGAATTAAGAAAAAAAATCCATCACAAACAGCACTGCCATGGCCCTATCCACACCTTGTTTTTGGCATCTATTTCTCTATTCTTATTTGTATGTTTTCACATGCATGCATAATACATGCACGTGTATATATTTTTACAAGTTGTATAGGTTGGTGCAAAAGTAATTGTGGTTTTCACCATATTTTTTTAATTCCATTTTTTTTTTCTTTTTTAGCCCAGGGTAGGATATCTGAGATTCTTGCATTTGAAAGGTACAAGGACCTAATATGACCTAGAAAAGCAGGAACTTTTGCTGGGCATTCCGTTTCATAGGAATATTTAAAGATAGATGAAACTGATGTTCATTCTTAAGGCTAGATGCCCGTGAGACTGAGCTTTGCCAGGTGTCTGTGCTGCCCGGCATGTAGATACCTTCTTTGGCACTGGCTTACCCTGTGGCTTCAAACGTGTAAGTGGATATTGAGGAAGAGTGGGTGAAACCGTTGCTGTTCCCCAAAGGCAGGAACCCTATGTGGCTTCTTCACTGCTGTGTCTCCAGTGCCCAGCACAGTGCCTCCCACATCAGAGGTGCTCAGTGAACGTTAGATGACTGGCATTTCAGCTGTAGGGTGGCTTGTACACTGACAGTCTCTCTGTCTCTTTCAGGAGGGTTGGAGCCCAGGCGTTTGGTACGGGGCGTGAAAGGCAGAAGCATTAGCATGAAGGCACCCACCACTTCCCGAGCCAAGCAGGGACCATTCAAGACCATGCCTCTGCGGTGGTCCTTTGGATCCAAGGAGAAACCACCAGGTGCCTCCGTCGAGTTGGTGGAGTACTTGGAATCCAGACGAAGACCTCGGTCCACGAGCCAGTCCATTGTGTCGCTGTTGACGGGCACTGCGGGTGAGGATGAGAAGTCAGCATCGCCGAGGTCCAACGTCGCCCTTCCTGCTAACAGCGAAGATGGTGGGCGGGCCATTGAAAGAGGTCCAGCCGGGGTGCCCTGTCCCTCGGCTCAACCCAACCACTGTCTGGCCCCTGGAAACTCAGATGGTCCAAACACAGCAAGGAAACTCAAGGAAAATGCAGGGCAGGACATCAAGCTTCCCAGAAAGTTTGACCTGCCTCTCACTGTGATGCCTTCAGTGGAGCATGAGAAACCAGCTCGACCGGAGGGCCAGAAGGCCATGAACTGGAAGGAGAGCTTCCAGATGGGAAGCAAAAGCAGCCCACCCTCCCCCTATATGGGATTCTCTGGAAACAGCAAAGACAGTCGCCGAGGCACCTCTGAGCTAGACAGACCCCTGCAGGGGACACTCACCCTTCTGAGGTCCGTGTTTCGGAAGAAGGAGAACAGGAGGAATGAGAGGGCAGAGGTCTCTCCACAGGTGCCCCCCGTCTCCCTGGTGAGTGGCGGGCTGAGCCCTGCCATGGACGGGCAGGCTCCAGGCTCACCTCCTGCCCTCAGGATCCCAGAGGGCCTGGCCAGGGGCCTGGGCAGCCGGCTCGAGAGGGATGTCTGGTCAGCCCCCAGCTCTCTCCGCCTCCCTCGTAAAGCCAGCAGGGCCCCGAGAGGCAGTGCACTGGGCATGTCACAAAGGACTGTTCCAGGGGAGCAGGCTTCTTATGGCACCTTTCAGAGAGTCAAATATCACACTCTTTCTTTAGGTCGAAAGAAAACCTTACCGGAGTCCAGCTTTTGATGGAGCGTGTCAGTATTGTGTGACGCTGGCATTCTTGGGACTTTGCCAAGCAACTGTAGGCAGCTCATGTTGAGAATGGGTTTCCAGGAAACCCGTTGTCTTGTAATCTCTAAAAAAAAATTTTTTTTTTTTTGTGGTGGGGGGTCTCCATATCTAGACTTCCAACACCCAAGGTCCATATAACCCAAGGTCGAAAACCTTCCTGCATCATTGGGTGCTTTGCTACAGTTTGGCCACTAGAGGATGCTATTGGGTCAGTATTACCAGTTTCAGGGCAAGAACTGATATTTACTAAAGAGTTTTGGATGTGGGCAAACAAGATGAGGCTGGTTTAATAAGAATCTTCAATGTCATGTCAAATACTGTCAATGGCTTTTCCTTTTTCTTTCTTTTTTTTTTTTAAATTGTGGACTTAAAGAAAAATATTTTATTTTTAATGCTTTTCTGGGATAAGCATTAAAGATGCCAAAAAGAAAAAAAAAACAAAAGAATGATAGTGATGGTAAGGCAAGATTCTAGCAAAGAGAGATGGGAGATAAATGGCTGAGAGTTCAGGTGAATATTTAATATATTAAAAATTGTATTAAAGTTTTTCAAGGTATTTTAAAAATAACTATTTTGATACTAGAAAAAAAGTCCATTTTTTAATTTAAATATGAGATCTATGTACAATTTTAATAAAATCCTGTCCATGAAACACGCATGGCTGTCTGAATTATTCAAGTCTGATAAATGATCTTGTTTCATTTCTGCTGAGTAAACTTGGTTCGTTGCTATTGCTATCAGAAAGTAGTTACTTGAGTTCTTTCTAAAATCTAAAAGTGCTTTTCGTTCCAATGACTTGCTGTTTTCTAAAGAAGTGGAAGCCTCCTCAGGCCATTCTCCGGAGGGCTTGTACTTGAAAAGACGTGAGTTCCACATCTGCCTGACAGACTCTTAGTTGACTGTCCCGTTTCCTAAAGCTCTGCACACTCTTCAGTAGCGACTCTTACAAATATCCTATCATTTCTTACTTAGAAGCTGCTAAGCCTGACCCCAGGCCTGGGGCTCAACAGTTGAGGTCACCTGTACTTAAACAGTCCTTCTTCTGCAAATACTTCCTTTTTTGACGGGAAACATTTGTTCTCAAAAAAAAAAAAGAAAAAAAAAAAGACACCTGATCCCAAGAATTAAGTCTTCCTTCATACATATAGCATGACTCATTGACATGTCTCTGCTACATTTTTTTTCTCTTAAGAAGGAGAATGGGCTGGGCATGGTGGCTCATGCCTGTAATCCTAGCACTTTGGCAGGCGGAGGAAGGCAGATCACCTGAGGTCAGGAGTTTGAGACCAGCCTGGCCAACATGGCGAAACCCTGCTCTACTAAAAATAACAAAAATTAGCTGGACGTGGTGGTGTGCACCTGTAATCTCAGCTACTCGGGAGGCTGAGGCAGCAGAATTGCTTGAACCCAGGAGGCGGAGGTTGCAGCAAGCCGAGATCGAGCCATTGCACTCCAGCCTGGGCGACAGACTGGATTCCATCTCAAAAAAAAAAAAAAAAAAAACGAGGAATGGAGTCCATTTTTTACCCCAGTGAAAAAGACAACTTGCCTTTGATCAGAGCAACAGTTAGAAGGTAGAACTGAGATAACAGAGAAAGGAAGAAGACCCAGCCACCTGACCCCAGAGGACAATATGTATACCAGTAAACCTGTGTGTTTGCATTGCAAAAGAAGTCCATGTTCTCTTCAAGTCTTACACTGATGTACGCGTAGGCACTGTGGAAGACATGGTTGTCCAAGTCCTCTTGGGTAAATAGGAGTCTAGGAGTCTTCCTGCTTTATCTGGTTCTTTCTCCTCTGTTGACTCTTCAGAGGAATTTGTCACATTTAGTTTCCATGCTCTTCCTAAGCTCAGTCTCCCTTTCTTCCTCCTCCAAGAGATTGGGTTGGAACTCAGACATGCACCTCCCTGGCTTCTCTCTTCTAAGGACTCAACCTTTAGAATACTCTTGGGTTGTTGGGATATCATGAGAGGGTCCCAGGCCTTAGCAGTGTTCTCTGTAACACATTCACTCCAGGCTCTGAACTGTGGAGGTTCAGGAAGAGGCAATTACACTTGACCCCTGGTGGATATATATCCATCTGGGGTCGGCAACAAGGATGCCTGAGGCACCCTTGCATCCCCTTCCCTGAGGTCGCTTCTCCCTCTAGAAGGACCCAGTAGAAGGCTGTGAGAACAGAGCATGGGAAATGGTTGAGTCCAATTTCTGCCTGGAATGGAGGCAATAGGGTCATGGTTCCAACCTTGGCCATGCATCCGATGATAGGCTGCAGGCTTCTGGTCAAGTGGTCCTTGAGGAGAAAGCATAAGAGAACCATTGGATGCTTTTTTCCTACCACAAAGATCCTGGGTGTTAGAGAAGAGTTGAAAGCCACTGAGCCAGAGAGGAGCATAGCCAGAGATGGAGCTAGCTCAGGATGGCCAAAGGGGCCTCCCATTCTTCCTCTGGAAGCTCAGATCCTCTGCCTGGATCTGTTCCTGCTGTCTGAGACTTGGTTGCCAGGTCCGACCTGCAGACCCTGGCTGAATGACAGATGAAGGAAGGCACTCAGACACAGGTATCCAGTGAAAGAGCAGGCTAGGGGATGGGCCACTTACAGACCCCGAGGAGGGTGCTGTGAAGAGTCAGCAGCTGTGGCCTCAACAAGCCGGCCCTGTGGGCATTTATTCAGCACAGGTTTAATGACAAAGGCTTTGAGTCAACACACTTGTGGGTAATCAGCATGGTCGCCCTCCCCAGAGAGAGCAGTCCTGTGCGGATGACTAAAGGCCAGGTTCCTTGTGACAGAAAACCAAACACTGCAAGTTCTCACTCATAAGTGGGAGTTGAACAATGAGAATACATGGACACAGGGAGGAGAATATCACACACTGGGACCTGTTGGGGGTTGGGGGCCTGGAAGAGGGATAGCGTTAGGAGAAATACCTAATGTAAATGACGGGTGCAGCAAACCAACATGGCACATGTATACCTATGTAACAAACCTGCACACTGTGCACATGTACCCTAGAACTTAAAGAATAATAATAAAATTTTTAAAAGGCCAGGTTCCAAGGCCTAAGTAAATGGACTTACCTAGATCAGTTTCTTTACATCCCCTTGTTATCTAACCTAAGCTTTCAGGCACCAGATAAGAGAATCTGGCTGCTTTCAGCCAAATCCTTTTCTGAAGCTTTGTAAAACCTCTCGGCCTTCCAAGAAGGTTTGCATCTTTCTACCATTTTTCCCATCACCCTGACCGATCTCCTACACTTGGTCACTGGTCTGATGGTCACAGCCCATTCCTGACTCCTAAAGAGTCGCCCAGGTTTTGAGGCCCCCTCCTTTATCCTCCACTCCTGCTCTTTTCCACTAGTGGAAGGAAGGTCTTGCAAGTCCAGACTCGGGCTGGGCAGTCATACAGGTAGCGCCAAAAGCTCCAAGGGCCCACAGGATCAGAGAAGAAAGCCAGGAAGTCTAGAGGAGGAGAGGCCATAGCCCATAGGAGTATATAATTACAGTTCTAGCTACATCTTATCAGTAGGATATCACCTGCAGTGAGGCAGCACCAGCATGATGTCCTGAGGAATGGTGAGCTAATCAAGCATGTGCTGACTTGATTTCATCCTAGAGCTGCAGAGATCGCAGTTAATAATGATGTGCGCTATAAAGACACATGCACATGTATGTTTACTGCGGCACTATTCACAATAGCAAAGACCTGGAACCAACCCAAATGTCCAACAATGATAGACTGGATTAAGAAAATGTGGCACATATACACCATGGAATACTATGCAGCCATAAAAAATGATGAGCTCATGTCCTTTGTAGGGACATGGATGAAATTGGAAATCATCATTCTCAGTAAACTATCGCAAGGACAAAAAACCAAACACTGCATGTTCTCACTCATAGGTGGGAATTGAACAATGAGAACACATGGACACAGGAAGGGGAACATCACACTCTGGGGACTGTTGTGGGGTTGGGGGAGGGGGGAGGGACAGCATTAGGAGATATACCTAATGCTAAATGATGAGTTAATGGGTGTGGCACACCAGCATGGCACATGTATACATATGTAACTAACCTGCACGTTGTGCACATGTACCCTAAAACTTTAATAATAATAAAATAAAATAAAAAATAATTACCACTGATGAGCATTTATACAGTACTTAACTGTGGGCAAGACACTCTTCTAAGCACTTTACAATATTAACTCATTTAATTCATAATAAACTTTTGAGGCAGGTACTATTATCTCTGTTTTACAGGTGAAGAAACTGAGGCACAGAGAGATTAATCTGCCAAAGGTCACACAACTAGTTAGTAGCAGAGCCAGGACTTGAACCCGGGTAATCCTGGCTCTGGAGTTCCTTCTCTGAATTACTGGAAAAAACCATGCTGCCCCTCTGAAGGTGTACTACTAACTCTGTCAGTTAAACCAAGTTGCTTCTGGTATTCTCTGTTTATCAACATGGAGAAAGATGCGTTTTCCAGATCAATAGCTTAT